>NC_000006.12:100222305-100373820 GCF_000001405.40 Homo sapiens
TCTTTTGCCCCCTAACCCCCAACAGGCTCTGGTGTGTGATGTTCCTCTCCCTGTGTCCATGTATTCTCATTGTTCAACTCCCACTTATGAGTGAGAACATGTGGTGTTTGATTTTCCGTTCCAGTGTTAGTTTGCTGAGAATGATGGCTTTCAGCTTCATCCATGTCCCTGCAAAGAACAAGAACTCATTCTTTTTTATGGCTGCATAGTATTCCACGGTGTATATGTGCCACATTTTCTTTATCCAGTCTATCATTGACGGGCATCTGGGTTGGTTCCAAGTCTTTGCTATTGTAAATAGTGCTGCAATATGCATACGTGTACATGTGTCTTTATAGTAGAATAATTCATAATCCTTTGAGTATATACCCAGTAATGGGATTGCTGGGTCAAATGGTATTTCTGGTTCTAGATCCTTAAGGAATCACCACACTGTCTTCCACAATGGTTGAACTAATTTACACTCCCAGCAACAGTGTAAAAGTGTTCCTATTTCTCCTCACCTCCTAGCATCTGTTGATTCCTGATTTTTTAATAATTGCCATTCTAACTGGTGTGAGATGGTATCTCATTGTGGTTTTAATTTGCATTTCTCTAATGACCAGTGATGATGAGCTTTTTTTCATATGATTGTTGGCAGCATAAATGCCCAACCCCATCAAAAAGTGGGCAAAGGATATTAACAGGCACTTCTCAAACTGCATCTTAAAAAAACTTTTGCACAATGCAGCAGGTGGCATGCACGAGAATGTTCACAGCCCAATGTTAAGAGTAGTGAAAGAAAAAATACTTGAAACAACCCAAATATACATCAACAGGAGAACAGATAAATATGTTGTGGTGTGTCCATGCAATGGAATACTCCACATCAGAGAAAAGTTAATAAAACTATGGCTACCATGTGAAGAAGGGTGACTTTAAGAAACATGATGCATGGAAAAATCAAGTTGCAGGCCATATAAGCAATATAGTACCATTTTAAATATTCAAAAACAAAAGAAAAACAATACATTTCTTAGTGTTTCTGTTAGTCAGAATTTTTCAAAGAAACAGAACCAATAGGATATAGGGTCATGTGCTATATAATGACATTTTTTCAATGACATACTACATATAGATTGTTGGTCCCATAAGATTATAATGGAGCTGAAAAATTCATATCACCTACTGACATTGTAGCCATCATAACACCATAGTGCAAGGAGTTATTCATCATTCACATGTTTGTAGTGATGTTGGTATAAACAAACCTGCTGCACTGCCAATTGCCTAACAGTCTAGCACATACAATTATGTATAGTACATGACAGTTGATAATGATCATAAATGACTATGTTACTAATTTATGTATTTACCATATTATACTTTGTATTGTTATTTTAGAGTATACGCCTTCTAATTATTAAAAATAAAAGGTTTACTGTAAAACAGCCTCAAACAGATTCTTCAGGAGGTTTTCCAGAAGAAGGCATTGTTATCATAGGAGATGACAGCTCCCTGAATATTATTTCCCCTGAAAACCTTCTGGTAGGACAAGATGTGGAGGTGGAAGACAGTGATATTTGAAGATCCTGATCCTGTGTAGGCCTAGGCTAATGTATGTGTTTGTGTCTTAGTTTCTAACAAAAAAGTATGAAAAGTAAAAAATAAAATAAAATTTAAAAATAGAAAAGTTTATAGAAAAAGGATATAAAGAAAGAAAACATTTTTGTACAGCTGTACAATGTATTTGTTTTCAGCTAAGTGTTACAAACAGTCAGAAAGTTAAAAAATTTAAAAGTTTCACCATGGAATACTATACAGCCATAAAAAAGGATGAGTTCATGTCCCTTGCAGGGACATGGATGAAACTGGAAACCATCATTCTCAGCAAAGTAATACAAGAAGAGAAAACCAAACACCACATGTTCTCTCTCATAAGTGGGAGCTGACCAATGAGAACACATGGACACAGGGAGGGGAACATCACACACTGGGGCCTGTAGGGGGTTGAGAGGCTGGGAGAGGGATGGCATTAGGAGAAATACCTAATGTAAATGACGAGTTGATGGGTGCAGCAAACTAACATGGCAAAATATACCTATGTAACAAACCTGCATGTTCTGCACATGTACCCCAGAACTTAAAGTAATAATAATAAATAAAAAGTCAGAAAAAAAGTTGCAGTAAGCTAAAATTAATTTATTATTGAGAACAGAAAAATTTTAATGAATTTAGTACAGGCTAAGTTTTCAGTGTTTATAAAGTCTACAGTAGTGTACAGTAATATCTTAGGCCTTCACATTCACTCACCACTCCCTCAACCTCCCGGAATAATTTCTAGTCTTGTAAGCTCCATTCACGGTGACTGCCCTATATAGTTGTGCCATTTTTTATTTTTTATGCTGTATTTTTGATGTACCTTTTCTATGTTTAGATATGATTGAATGCAGAAATATTTATGACTGTATTACAGTTGCCTACAGTATTCAGTACAGTAACATGCTATATAGGCTTATATTCTAGGAGCAATAAGCTATACCATACAGCCTAGGTATGTAATAGGCTATACCTTCTAGGTTTGTGTCAGTACACTCTATGATGTTTGCATAATGCCTAAAATCACCTAATGATGCATTTCTCAGAATGTATCCCTGTCCTTAAGTGATGCATGACTGTATATAGATATATATGAGGATACTTATATCAATTTTTATGTGTTCATAGTATGACATATTTTATATATTTTATTTGTAGCATGTTCATATTATTATATGAATTTGCTCACACAGTTATGAAATCCAAGAGATCACACAATCTGCCATCTGCAAACTGGAGAACGAGGAAAGCCAGTGGCGTAATTCAGTCTAAGTTCAGAGGCCTGGGAAGTGGGGTGTCAATGGTGCAAGGAGCACCAATGTCAGAGGGTGGAAGATGGATGTCACCTCAAGCAGGGAAGGCAAATTTGCCCTTCTTCTGCCTCTTTGTTTCAGTCTTTCAAAGGATTGGTCATTTCCACCCACATTGGTGAGGTAGTTTACTTTACTCAGTCTGCCAATAGAAATGCTAATCTCTTTCAGAAACACCCTCACAGACACATCCAGAAATAATATTTCACCAGCTATATGGATACCTCTTATCCCAGTCAAGTTGAAACTTAAAATTAACCATCAGAGGGATATATACATATATAGTAGAATAGAAAGAGAATGATTTTAAAAATTAGGTTAGTGTGATCTCTTGGGTGGATATATGGGATGCAGAAGAAGTAAGAAGGATGCTTCAACAATATTGATACCGTTCTATTCCTTAAGTTGCATGGTCAGTTCACAGATGTTCATCTTATTATTATGTTTTATAATTTACATATATGTTGCATATATCCTTTTGAAGGTACCAAAAACTTTAGACTTTTAAAATGAGGATAAAAATCAATTAACTTCAGCATATAGGTTAGATCCAAAGTCTCTGCCATAAAATATATGGAAAAAAAAGCAAATCTCAAAATGTAAGAGTGTAAAACGGTCAGTTTAGGATAGTAGGTAAAACTTCTATATAAACTTCAGGTGCTATTTATGATGATCACTGAATAATATTCATAGACTAATGAAACTCTTGCTCCTCTTCAAGGCCAAGGCAAAAATTATAAGTGGGATTCAAAAATATTAGAAAACTCAAAACAAATTGATCAGTGACATGTTTTTAAAAGATTCTGGTTTGTTGGTATTACAGCCCTAACCCCTGTGACAGACATTAACCATCATTATGGCAATTTGTGTAGACAGTAACTGGAAAGGGCTGGAATGACCATAGCTCCCTACTGAGTGTGGAACTTTGTCTTGAGTCAAATGAGGCCCATAATGGATCCCGGCACATAATCACTCAGTAAATATTTATTGTATGAAGGGGAGCAAGTGAAAGTTGCAACTCTTTTTGCTATTTCCTCCCACCTGTCACCCAGTGCAGTAAAGGAACTTCTGGTAGGCTACCTGTGTGAATTGTAGCCTATTGATGCAGTCTACCTATGTGAATTGTAAACTTTACTCTGGAAAGCCAGCTAAAGCAGCCCAAATAGTTCAACTCCTTGTTCAGCATTTCCCTCAAACTTTGCTCCCAGGCAGCCAAGGGCCGCAGGGGAATGAAAAATATTCCTCTCCAGCCTGAGCCCCCAGAAGAAGGAGAAAAAATGCAACATACACTTTGGCAGGTAACTGCTTTCTCCTTCTCCTCAAAAAGAAAGGAGGTGACACATGAAGATAATAGATTATCCCTGTGTGCTATCCCCTAACTAGAATTTTTCTTTTAACTGTAGCAATATATACGTAACATAAAATTTGCTTTATATTATTTACACTGAATGCAACATGTGGCGAAGTATACGTAACATAAAATTTGCTTTATATTATTTACACTGAATGTGACATTCAGTGACTTAAGTACATTTATGTTGTTCAACTATCACTAGAGTTTTTTTCATTTCCCAAACTGAAACTCTGTATAACTCCCCATTTCTCCCTCCCCCCAGCCCCTGGCACCACCATTCTACTTTCTATCTCTAAGAATTTGACTACTCTAGATATCTCATATAAGTAGAATCATACAATATTTGCCCTTTGGTGACTGGCTTATTATACCTGGCGTAAGGTCCTCAAGGTTCATCCATGTTGTAGCATGTGTCAGAATTTCCTTCCTTTTTAAGGCTGAATTCCTTCGTGTGAGTATATGACATTTTGTTTATTTACTCAACCAGCAATAGACAGATTGGGTTGCTTCCACTTTTGGCTATTGTGAATAATACTGCTAGGAACATCTGATCAAGCCCCTGCTTTCAATTTTTTTGGGTATATACCCAGAAGTGAAATTGCTGGATCGTGTGCTAATTCTACTTTTAAAATCTTGAGGATCTTCCACACTGTTTTCCACAGTAGCTGCACCATTTTACACTCCCACCAGCAGTGTAGAAGGTTCCCAATTTCTTTAAATCCTCTCCAACGCTTGTTACTTTTTTTTAAGTGACAACCATCCTAATGGGTATTTAATAAAGTTTTTTTATTAGAATCATTTTTCTTTCTTCTTGTAAGCCACATCACTCATGCATGCTTCAGCTAACCACGCAACCCTGCTTTTTCATCTTCATTAAACATCAGCCTTTCACAGGATAACACTTGAGCTGTCTATTGCAACCAAGTTATAATCCTGCCTACTGGAGCTTTCAAGAATGATACCACTTATGTTTGGGAATGATCCTCTGTGGATGAAAGTAGGCAAAACAACATACCCTTCATTTTCACACTGAAGAAGGTCAACAACAGGCTGTATAAGGTATGGATAAAGCCAAAGGACACTGTAATATTCTACAAAACAATTATCTGCAAACTGATGAGAAGTATCACATTAAATCTTCAGTATCAACTGTCATTAAATTTAACATGGAAATAGGTAAAATGAGACAGTTTAGAAATAAAATTGACTTTTTTTTAAAAAAAGAAACTATGGACTGGAAAGTGTATATACTTTAGATGATGTTCAGAGTGTAATAGATTCTAATGATCTATGTTTGTCAAGTCACTTAACGATTTTGTTTTTGTCCCAAGTGAAATAGTCACAAATCCCCAAATGAATTACTGAATGTGAACAAATTTCTTTTTTGCCTGTTATCATTCGCTTCCTCTTCTCAGTTCTTCCTGCACACCAGCATGTTACTAAATCAGGCACAGTGATAAGCAAGAAGCTTGCCCTCCATTGGTTTCTATCTTAAATAATTACAATCATTATCATCTAGAGCCATACAGCTGGTTCTTGTGGAGAAATGTTTATGATGCTATCTTCAAATTAATAACACTACAGAAGGAGAAGGGTAGAATAATGTCAGAGGCATTAATCAGTAACACTCCAATAAGTGGTTTATAGCATTATAGTCACCTGACTTGCATTTATGAGATGCGGGATATTCTTTTAACTGCTCTGTTTGAGGTTTTTGATGAACATAAGATTAATTAGAAGAGATTTTACTGCTGGTTCAAAGTATGTTGTTCCTCATCATGAATGTAATCATTGATGACTGAAATAACTCATTTTGTAGCAAAATCATATCATTTTGTAGCATGATATGATACACCATATCATATGGTGTAATGATTTAAAAAAGCATTATTTTATCATTACACCATATGCCACTGTAGTTGAGGCTTCGTCAGATTCCAAAGATACGTCATTTATCACAGAACTTCACCCTGAGGTAAACTGTGAGTTGAGATTCTATCAACAATAAACGTGATGACTTCATCGTTTCATTTAAAGAGAAGTAAGCTCTGTGACTGTATATTGCTAGCTTCCTGTACTTTATGCTTCTGTAGGCACAGAAAGTATTTTAAAACGTAGAATGGGGCTTTTCACACAAAGGAGTAACACAAAGGAATAGATCTGAAAGGACTGTCATCTGCGATCACTTCCTACCATCAGTTTTAAGTCAAATGGAAAAAGAGTTCTCATAAAAATGTCACTAGGTACTCTCAATGGCACTGAATTAGCTATTTGGGTACGGAAACGGATGTATTAAAGTATAAAAATTGAAACCCACCAAACGTGTATCAAGTAGGGGAAAATCTGCCTGCGCCCCTAGTGCCCAAAACACTTAACCCTGAAGTACCAGGTGTCCCCAACCGCGGGCAAACCCAATCTTGGTTCACTTTGGCGTCTCGGAACTGACAGGGCTCCGTCAGATCTTCCGTTTCCCTCCTGCGCGTCCGTGATATTGATTGACAGCCTCTCCCCTCCCACCCTCCCTGGCGGCCCAGCCAGGCAGGCTGTTTTGTCAGCTGCTCCGCCCAGGCCGGACGAGGCCGCAGCCTGCCAGCCGGCTCCGGCCTCCACACCGCGGGAGCACGCCCCGCCTCGGCCTCGCCGCCGCTCGGGCTGACACTCTGCCTCCGGGCCCGGGGAGACCTTTCCATCTGCAAATAACACTGGAGAATTCAGACTAATCGGTTCAGCTTCCCTGAGGCAAAGGGGAAAAAAAAATGTTTCTTCAAAGGAAAAGGATTAAGAGGGAAAGTGAGCAAAGGCTTGCCTGGTCTCCACTTAGGGAATCTGAAAGAGCACAATCAATTGAACAAATGCTTCACCTAATCATGGGGAAAGCAGGGTTGGAGAGGAGCTCTGTTTTGTGGGGTTTTGCTCTTGTAAGGTCACTTATGGAATCAGCTAATGGAAACAAGTTCTAAAGACTTAGACGGTGGAGAACATTTTCTTCACTCCACATTGTATTAGGTTGGTGCAAAAGTAATTGCTGTTTTTGCATTACTTTTTAAAAAATGGCAAAAACTGCAATTACTTTTGCACTAACCTGTCTTGTAATTTTTTGTTTTTCTCAAAAGGGTACTTTACTAGCCACAGTTCTTCATCCTGCACGCGCACACACACACACACACACACACACACACATCTATTGTTTATTCTGCTATTGAAGCAGTTACATAACAGGTTACCTGCAAAATGGGAGCTGGAAAAACATACATAGTTTTAATAAAGATCAAGCGACATTAGAGTCTATCATGGAAGAGCTCGATATATCCAAACTGGGAAACTATGAATCAAAATTTCATTAGAGAAATATTAGTGACTATTCTGACTTTTTTTTGTTTTTCCCTTTTTGATATTAGCCAGCTCTTCCTAAAAGTCTCTAGGCTGTTTCATCTGGAGTTCCCAAGCCCTCTTTCTCATTCATGATATCTACTTGGAAATTAGGTGTCTCAGTACAGCTGCTTGCTAATTGTAATTTAATTTGAATCTCACTTAAGAAAGCATTTTCTTTGGAGGGGGAGAAATCTTCAAGGAAAAAAATACTTTCAGGTCTTGATTTGTATAACTAACCCTTGCACTTGGTAGGTCATTAGATCTCACTAGTTTGTAATGCAATCAGAGTCAGCATTCTGCTCTTAAGGGCTACTCGGTAATTTGCTTGTTAATATATTAGCACACAGCATTGATCAAATGGCTAATCCAATCACACGCTTGTAATCGATCTCTTATTGATTACCTAGTCTGGTGATCACTTTTGTTGGGTTCAGTCAATAGTAAATGCCAAGTAGCCTTTCACACACCTAATTAGCTTATGAAATAAACCAAACATTTTGCTTGGCCCTGAAGGCAAAGATCAATGGAAAGCTTTGGGGCTGAATTCAGATGATTTTTTCATCAACTTTTCTTCCTCTCTTCTGCAGCCACTCAAGTTCACATTAACACTCTCCCTCTGGTTTGAAGACATCTGAAAAGCAGCTGCCATGGTGGAGACGCTGAAGCAGCTGTAAGCCATAAATCACAAGGGTGAGGGATTCTGGGTTGCACATTGGCATGTGGTCTGTCAGGCCAGAAAAATAGAGACATAAAAGAGCCAAAGGTCAGAGGTATGTAGAGTTTAGAAGCCTGAACTTGTGCTATATTTTATGCAAGGAAACCTTGGCATTGGTGGGTCTTTCCAAATACACTTTAACTTTACCGTGCTGACATGGTACTTGATTAGATCTTTACTTCTCTGAATGAGCTGACTGTAGCTTCCTGCTACTCATCTTGCTACTGTTAATTTGATCGTGTATCTTCTTGCCTTCATCCAGAGGACCAGTCCCTCCAAGGGTAATTGGGTTAAATAACAACTTTCCAGTTGCATCCAAGATTGTTAAAGTTTGAAATGAAAGCAGTATTGGAGATGGTTTGGCTGATGCTTATCACATGACTTTAAGGAAGAACCTACTCTTATGGACCCAACCCCATTCCTCACTTTCCCTATAGAATAGACCTCATCATAGAAACATTTGCCTAGGGCCTGAGTAATCACAGACCTGCCTGGTGATTCAAAGCAGGAAAGTGAGTAGGATAGCTTTCCTGGAAATTACTGACAGCTACACAGTTAATTTCCCGGAGCAATATATGGTAATGACTCTCAATGATGGGATGTTCCAAGTTCCAAAACACAACACCAGGCTGGTGGAGTGTAACCAAGTCTCTGTTGGCAAAGAAAAGTGTAGAACTGAAGCATGATCTAAAATCAATCCCAGAATTTTCCTGTCTGAATTGCCATTTTTAGAACAAAGAATTCACCAAATGACTTTCAATTTCTTTTTAAAGAAAAGCAAATTTCCGGAAACCATAGTTGGCTTATATGATTATGTCAAATTTTCCTGAGGATTTAAAACAATAGCTTTATGGTCAAAAATATAAGCAATCCATCAATCAATCAAACAAGTAAATCCACATACTTGGCAGGGCAGACGAAGCATTATTTGTCAGGGCAAATGAACACAAGTAACCTTTCCTTAGGACTTATCTAGACAATTTCACCAAATTTCATCTTGCTTTGAAGATAAGATCTATTAATACAATAAAAAGCAAAGTGATTATTTAAGTTTAGCTGTTTATCAATTTTTTAAAAAAAAAAATTCCTTTTTCAAAACCAGCTTTATAGAGTAGTTTATTTTGGTTATTTAGCATTTTTGGTGGTCTTCATGTTAAACACACACACACACACAAACTGTACATACCATTGTACAGATTACTTCACATTTAAAAGTACTTATGATCATTTTCATGTGTGTGTGGAATCAAATTATTTATTTGAAAATTAAACTTAGATACAGAGAAAAGATAAGCTTACCAGAAGTGGCATGACTTAGCAGAGTTGAAATAAAACAGATTTCTATTTCTAAAAGAGATCGTGGAATTAGGACTATCCTTTTTCCAACCAGATTGTGAAAACTGATCTGAAGCAAAATAGAAATTGGTGATTTAGCTGGTGGGGCTCCTGCATTGCTTTTCTGGGCTGCTTCTCCTCACAAGTTTTTACCTCCAGACCTTGACTGTTCTGTATAAGGAACCAGGTGAATAGACAGAATTGCTTAAGCACTAGAGCCAGGCTACCTGGGTTGAAATCCCCACTCTGTCATTTACTGACTGTGACCTTGGAGTTTTTTAACCTCTCTTTGCCTCAATTTTGCCACGTGTAAAAGAGGAATAATTGCAGAATCTACCTCATGAGGTTTTTATAAGAATCAGACAAGTCATTAGATGTAAAAAAAACTTTTAAACGATACCTGGAACTCTGTAAGCACTCCGGAAACACTGTCTATTCTGGCCATTACTCTCTGCCTAAAAATGATCTGAAATTTCTTCAACTCCTTGTGTTACTCACCTCAGGACCTCCTCGAGGTCCAGCAGGGTTTTAAATATTCTGATAGTTTATTTCAGAAACTTCATTTTAAGCAGCAGGCCACAGAAGAAAGAAATCTTAATACTTTTGCAGCAGGTAACAGTTCAATGTGTTATTCTTTCCAGGGTTGTTTACATTTAAAAAGAAGCTGCTGAGAGGCAATAATGAAATCCCCGTACATTCTCAGACTTAACAGTTATGATCTGAAGTATTCAAACTCTGGTCTCAAACACTGACTATTCTCAGGGCTCAAATTTGACATCAGTACACTGGGGGGCTGGTGTCAGAGAGCTACTGGAGAACTTAGCACCTGATAATTCTCCTTCACCTTAATTCTGCAGTGCCACGAAAGATGGCCAACTATGGGAAACACTGTTGGGAGTTAAGAGAAAGTGAGCGATGTAAGAAAGGGATGGCTTTTCACTCCTCCAAAAGGAATCTGTGGGAAGGATTGCTGTACTTTGGCCCAGACTGGGGCGACCAGGTGAAGACAACCTTGTGAGCTTGCCATTCAGCTATTACTCATTAAAGGAGTCATAGGTTATTCCACACTGAAACCAATAAGTACATAAGCAAGTCAAAATAGAATTATTAGACTTGTTAGCAATTTATTTTAGTCAATGTAACTAAAGGGTATAAATTACATAATTTCCTTCTGTGGGGATCTGTAAAAATAGGACAGAGCTCTACTTTCGGGAGCATTGCATAGCTAGGACACACTTGAATGATCAATTTCTAGAATTTTTTTTTCTCCTATGCTGTAATTCCATGACTCCATCATTTCAAGGTTTTGTTTTACCATTTTTTTCATTCAGTGCACTGGTGAATTCAAGTTAGGAAAAAAAAAGCATGCTATCTTTTACAACTATTTACATTTCATCATCCAGCACCAGCAATAAGTGAATTTATAAGGGTTTTCCATCTTGTAAAATAATCACAGCCTACTTACCACTGGAAATAATTGTTGATCCTTTGGTAAATTACATATTATTTCCCCCACATGTAAATAGCATTTCCATAGGCTACAAGCTTCTAATGTGTACCAATGAACTGCGAGTTATGTGTACAAATATCAACAAGATTTAGTGAACCTATCAGAGCTAGCAGGATTGTGAAAATCTGTTTTTCTTATCTGTAGAATCCAGTAGGTTATGGGTTCTCAACTGTTATTTTAAACATAAAATAAATATACAGAATGTTTGTTTTTTCCAAGTTGAAGTAAGATTTTTTTAAAATATAACTACTGAAAATGTTTAATTAATTTGGTTAGATACAAATTAGAGCAATCACTTAAGTATACTCAAATCTATAGAGACACTTGAAAAGGGTGTACATTTAAAAAACAATAAATATTTGGAATCACAATGCCAAAAATGACTATATTTTGTATAAATATTCCTTATGAAATGACATAATTGGCAGATGTTAAGTGAATATATTCAGCCTATTTAAGGCTATATTGAATGAAGTATATACTATATTGAATAAAGTAATGATTAGACAAATGTATGAAATAAACAGATACCAGTTGTCCAATGTTAATTCCAATCATTTTGAAAAATCAAAAATATGAATATTTTTCTCTTCCATAAATATAAATGAAAATAAATTATGAGATTTATGTGTATATTAACAATTATAAAGTACTTCAATATCTAGTTTTATTTTGGGTTTTTTGAGGAGCCGATTTGTTTTTGTTCCATTTTTTAATGAGTTAGTTTTGGAGGTTAAAGGATGAAAGCCCATTTTAAACTATTAATTAAAGTGCAGAAATAAACAGTAAAATATTTTTAAAATTAAGTGTAAAGCATATGTATTCATTTTAGTGAAACCATAGTTGTGAGCAATCTGCCATTGTGTATCCAGTTGAAGTGAATGCTTTTAAAGCAATAAAAACTGGCTTTTAAATGGACAGAACAAAACCTTGATGTTTAGATGAACCACCTCTTTGCAGACTTCTTCTACTCAATGAAATTCAAATATACTTTCTAAATGAACTCATTGCAAAGGATGGTTCATGAATTATAACTTTGTTTTGTGCATTATTTAAATATAATATGCTAACAAGGAGCTAACCGGTAAATTCCAGGTTCCTGCTGTGATACTATATTTCAAATATACTTTCAATTCCTAAGAAAGAAATGAAGACATTTTCTGAAATCAGGCTGCAAACATGCTTTTATTCATCTATAGTTTTTGCTTTTAGAGAGTATACATTTTAACCAAAAAGAGAGTGACACATAACATCAGGTTTGCCAAAACTAAAGTTCATAAAAGTGACACACGATCTGGTGGCACTCTCTGGAAAAGCGATTTGGCAATGAGGTCAGAGTGCTTATTGTAGGAGCCTTGGAAGTTGACCTTTGTTCTTCGACCTTCCACTGTGAAGAGGATGGCCAAAGAGAGAGACCTAATAACTAACAAATAAGGCTTTTCCTATTTTCCCCTGTCCTGCCAATTTAGGAGAAGAAAGAGAGGGAAGGAGGAAAGGAGGGAAAAACAGGCAGACAGTCTAATTAGGTACAAACCTCCATCATCAGTCACTTCATGGTAGAAAGCCATTAAAGCAACCATGTAGGTTATTAAGGAATTTTTCAAATCTCAGATGGGAATTTGAAATTCATATTCTTGAGTCAGTAAACTAGCCTGTCTTATGTTTACAGATGCATTCATCAAACCTAACTGAAGTTATGTTTACTATTCATGAAATAACTATTACATTTGCTAAATCACACAAAACATTTTATGCACCCCCATCCAGAGCTACTCAGCTACGGCAGTTTTTCCTGTGCTACATTTAAACTCTCTTTACAAAAGGAAGAGGGAATTGGCAAGGAAATAATTTGATTGTGTGGTATTTACCCAAAGGAAAGCAATTTTTAAAGTATGTATTGAGATCCGTAAACACTGAAAGTTAAGGTAGGAGTACTAATGAAAGCTAATACTTATTCAGCACTCGTGGGGTGCCAGGCATTGTGCTACGATGTTTGCATGAATTCACTCACTCACCTCTCCCAACATTTCTTTGAGGTAGTTAACGTTTTTTTATTTTTTTATTTTTTTTATTTTTTATGGATGATGAAATTGAGACTTAGAAAAGATAAAGAGCTTGCCCCAGATCAAGTAGTACCTAAAGAAGCTAGAATTTGAGACTAAATAAGAAAGGACTCAAAGGCAGGCAGGCAGTAGTGAGCCCATGGGCCACCAATTTGCACAGCCCTTTTCAGGAACTACATTTAGATAATGAATCCAGACCACCTCAGCCATCAACAATTGCATTCCATTCCATATACTATGTTTGCAAATTACTTTTTGAAAAAGATTGTTCCAAGACTGAACCAAAAGGAATTTTGCATTAGATCTGAATTAACCAGACTATTGACTTCATCAGAAAGCCCACTTCCTCATACATTCCTCTTCAACAAGACTTTGCTGCTTCATAACTCAATAGAGCAGTCACAAATCACAATAGATTCACAAAAGAACTCAACAGAACAATTACAAATTGGGAAAAATACTCCTATGTAATTGGAATACTTTAAAAGTTGTTAGTGTAAAGTTTCAGCAGATAAAGTATAATTGCCTTAGCTAAAATTTAACTGCCACATAGCCTGCCCTTACATAAAACAGGGCAAAATGCTTGGTAAATACAGCACTGATAAATATGGGTGCAAGAAAATATCACCGGCATCCCCCACACCATGCTGGGACATCAGTTCTATGACAGTTTTAGAGCAAAGGGGTCATTGGGGCTGCCCCTACCTTCTGTCATGTAGAAGTCATTACTTATGAAATCAGGTGCAGTTGAAACCAGGACATAAACAGTTTGCCCTTTCTGAGACGAAAGGTCAAAGATAGCTACACATTTGGAAGATAGGAGCAATAGAAGGATCACACAATTACAATTTTTTGCATTTTTAATCTTTTATATTTAATATTTAAAAACAATTTTTACATCTTTCACCGCAGGAATTTCCAGTTTGTAAATTGGAAAGCGCTGGAAAGCTGAGCCCCACTCAGTAACAAGACAACTCCAATCAAAGCAAGTGTTTGCAGGCATCAAAGTCAAGCTTGGCTGGGACAGCCAAGGGCAGCCCAGAGGTCCTTCTCATAGTACTACCTTCTCATAGTACTACCCTGTCTTGAGCAAAGCCCCTTCTGGGACCATCAGCAGGATTTGGCTGACTAACAGAGGGCAAATTTCATGCTGGTTTGAGCCTAATGCCTCTTTGTTTTTACTGCATTTTTACTTACAAAGGGACTTGTGCAAAACAAAACATAGAATAAGATTTCAAAGTTTTAGGGGGCAATGTGGGTTTGGCTACAAATTTTCAGAGGAACATAAAACCAAAAACACAAGCTGTGGCCTTATTCTGAGTAATTTCAGAAGAAAATAAGCCCTTTTGGAAATGTATGCACATACATTTCTGATGTAGGTTGGAATGTGCTGGTTGCAATGCTGGAGATGTGGATTTACAATATGCATTGGAATTAGGCAAACCTGAGTTCATGTCACACTTCTGCTATTTATTATTTATGTAGCCTGAGAGAAGTCCCTTAATTTCTTGATTCTTTAATTTCCCGCACCTTACAATGAGCATAATGAGAGTGCTTACCCCATAGAAGAGGGATTATTAAATGAGACAAATTACAGAAGGCACTTTCAGCAATGCCTACCATGTATTAAGTGTTCAGTAAATGCCAAGTTGTTGTTGTAAGTCTTATAAGATCTACCACTTGGTTGAACTTCACTAAGATTCCGAAGAGTTCTCTCTCTCTTTCTTTCCTGCCTCCCACCGCCTGCATTGGAGCTGCCTTCTTTGCCACCATGTTTGGAATTTGGTAACACCAATTCCAAAATGTTTTACAAAAGGATGCACAAGTGATTCTGGGAAGCTAAAATGACAATCCCATCAGAATTGGCATGTTCCCTGAGAAAATGCAAACACTAAAAGATAAGAGATTTGAGGAAATCATACAATGGAATTTGAATTCTTAGTGGATCTAGCCATTCCAAATATTTTCATAGGATATGTTCAAAGTGACTTGGAAAAAGAGTAAAAACAAAGTTAAGAAAGCTAAAGGAATTGATAATATGTGCCATTCAGAGAAAATCTTTTTTGCTTTGGAACATTTTAAATGATCACATGAAAAGATTTTTGGATCTTACATTAAATTATTGCTTACTAATTTGCAAGATAAAAGAGAATTGGGATGGAAATATAATTTTCTATTGAGTGAAAATGAATACAAATTAAAGTGTTACATTCTTAGGTTAGAAAATGTGCTTGACTTCAAAAAGAGTTTTGGGATTCACTCATATTCCCATATATATTTAATGAAATGTAACATGCTACTGAAACATTGCTTTCTGCCAATACTTTATGCCAGAGTCTAAGAAACGCTGAGGATTAATAGCAGAGAAAAATGCTCCTCTGTTTGGCTGAATAAACATTACACAAACACTAAACTCTGTGTGGGATCATTAGTTTTTTCATCACACTATTTCTAGAATTGAAAAATCACAAATCCTTCTCCAGCTTAGTTCTTTTTTGCAACAAAAGCATTACTCAGACCAGCTAAAATGTATTCTTTAGGATTCTGACATCTCCGGAATGTCAAACAGGTTCAGTGGACACCAAGTACAGATTCTCTCTTTCATGTGGAAAGGTTAAGTAAGAAAAGACTTCATGTGAGGAAACTGCCCCATCATTCACAGTTATTTTAATTTAATCTGAGTGTGCTTCAATTTACATATAAACTGGAATGTTGTCTCAGAAAAAAAAATCTATTTCAAGGAAATCAACCTTTGGAGTAAATAAAACTGACAATTTAAAAAAGTGATGAACATTTTAAGACTATATATGCATTTGAGAGAAGCCAGCATAACCATAATGTAAGATTAGCCTTATTTTAATATGAACTATCCATAAAAACATTATGCATATATTCTTTGACTCAAACAATTGGTTTTATAGCCTTCTGAAATTTTGAAAGACTTATGGTCTTTAATATGCTATAGCTGTTAACCAGATAAGCATATTTTTCTGGAAGATATTCCTTTCATAGAATATAAATTAACCACAGACATGACAAAATGGCCAAAGCTGGCAGGAAGAGGAGAGAGCTGGATGATATTAAGAAATTAAATGAATAAAATATGGTAAACTTTTGTCAACAAATATTTAACCATGGAATTGTTTTTATTGTAACCTTAAAAGAAGAGAATATGATTGACAAGTAATATTTGCATATTTGCTCCTTGTTAATTATAATTATTTATTCTTAATCTGATTGACTTATAAGAATAAACATAATACTATGGTTTTCCTGCACCTCCTCAATAAATGATTGTAGTAACTTTGCTTAAAAGTTTAACTTGACTCTAATTCTTTCAGTCCCCTTAGGAAGTTATATAACAAGTATATTTAATTTAAACTTTAGTGCACTAAAGTTTTTAAAGTAAATTTTAAACTTATGCTGATTAACCTTAATGCGTAAGTCCAGAGGAGCACTACAGTTAATACTTAGTGCATAAATCTGTGGAAGGAGAAGAGTTCTTTTCTTTGTTTGTTTGTTTGTTTGTTGCCCCTTTGCCCCTTCATGGGGTCTGAAGTCAGCTTCAGATTCAGATTAATTTGTCATCTCTTTTCACAAATCTTTCACAAATGATATCTATATGGTACCTTCCAATGTTTCCCCTGAGATTTTTTTTTTTTTTTTTTTTTTTTTAGACAGGGTCTTGCTCTTGTGGCTCAAGCTGAAGTGCAGTGGCATGATCTCAGCTCACTGCAACCTCCGCCTCCCAGGTTCAAGAGATTCTCCTGCTTCAGCCTCCTGAGTAGCTGGGATTACAGGCTCCCGTCACCATGCCTGGCTAATTTTTGTACTTTTAGTAGAGACGGGATTTTGCCATGTTGGCCAGGCTGGTCTCAAACTCCTGACCTCAGGTGATCCTCCCACCTCAGACTCCCAAAGTGCTGGGATTACAGGCGTGAGCCACCACGCCTGACCAAGATTTTTTTTATGTCTGAAATTTCATTATTAAAACTTTATATTTTGTCTGTATTTTCAGATGACTCTATTGTCTATGTAGAAAATTCTAAGGAATCTACCAAAAAGTTACTAAAACTAATAAGTGAGTATAGTAAATTTGCACAATCCAAGGTCAATATAAAAATCAATTATAATTCTATATATTGGCAATGAACAGTTGAAAATTGGAACAAAGAAATTATACCATTAATGGTAACATAAAAATATATGAACTACATAGGGAATATATTAAATATGTATGTGACCTATACACTGAAAAACTACAAAACATTACTGACAGAAACTAGAGAACAGCTAAATAAGTGAAAAGTATACTGAGTTCACATTGGAAGCTCAATATTGTTAAGATGTCATTTCTCCCTGGATTGCTGTACAGATTCAATATATTCTCAGTCAAAATACTTATGCGTCCTGGGGTAAAAATTAGCAAGCCAATTATATAATTTATGTTGAAATCCAAAGGACTTAGAGCAGCATAAATAACTTTGGGATGGGGTGACAAAGTTGGAGAACTTCCATTATCTGATTTCGAGAATTACTATAGTAAACAAGCTAATGTGGTATTAGCATAAGGATAGGTATATAGATCAATAGAACAGAATAGAGAATCCAGAAATAAATCGAGACAATATGGTAAATAGGTTATTGACAAAAATGTCAATATGAATGGAGAAATCATAGCATTTTCAACAATGGTGCTGGAACAATTTTGTATACAAAAATAAATGTATCTCATACCATAAATAAAAATTATTTCAAAATACATCAGCAAAACTATAAGACTTCGAGAAGAGAAGCACAGAACAAAATCTTTGTGACTTCAGGTTAGGCAAAGATTTCTTAGATGGAACATAGAAAGCATGAATCAAAAAAGAAAAAATGAAATAAATTGGATTTCATGAATATTAACATTTTCTGCTCTTCCAAAGACACTGTTAAGAAAATGAAAACGCAAGCCACAAACAAGGAGAAAATATTTGCAACTCATATACTTGATAAGGGATATATAATTCAGAATATATGAAACAACTTGTAATGCAGCCACAAGAAAACAACCTGATTTTTTAATGGACAAAAGATTTGAACAGACAGTTGACCAAAGAAGGAAGACATACAGATGGCAAACAAATGCATGAAAAGATGCTCAATATCATTAGTCACTGGGGATATGCACATTAAAACGAGAATGAAATACCACTGCACATCTTTTAGAATGGCTAAATTTTAAAAAAGAAGAAGAGGAAGAAAAGAAGATACCAAGGTCTAGTGTGGATGTGGAGAACTGGAACTCTCACATATTGTTGATAGGAATAAAAAATGATATGGCTACCATATATGAAAACATATATTCTACACATATTGTACACAAATTTTCAAAACAGCTTTATTTTGTAAGAGCCAAAAACTGGAAACAACCCAAATGTCCAACAGGAGGTTGTGACATATTCATACAGTAAGATAATACTAAACAATCAAAAGGAATGGGCATACAAAAACCTGGATGAATCACATTAATATTATGCAGAGCAAAAGAAATCAGACACAAAAGATTTAAGCTAGATTACTTTATATAAAATTCTAGAAAAGACAAAACTAAATTATGGTGCACTTTACAAAACAAAGGTAAGCACATAATTGTAATGGTGCAAATGAATATCTTGTTCTCTACTGGATTTACACTAGGTGCTGTGACAGATGATCCCTAAAATCTCAGTGCTCTAGCACACCAAAGGTCACTTCTCCCTCACTCAAAGTCCAAAGCAGGTTGCCAAAGGATTTTCCTTCTACTCCACAACTCAGGGGCACCGGCTGTCTCCATCTTGGATGTTGCGATCACAAATGTAGTTTTCAATGTTTCTGGAGTTGAGTTAGCAGCAGAGGAAGTACACCAGCTCTTAACTGCCTTGGGCCAGAAGTCACACGTGTCACTTCCATTCATAGTCCATTGGTCAGCCCTAGTCATCTGGCCCTGACCTAATTTCAAAGGAGGTAGGGGAATTTAGAGTAGAAAATGGAATTTTTAGTGAGCAGTGAATGAGCCACATACATTTTAACAACTTCAAGGTATGGATAAAGGATGAAGGAAGTTTAAAGCCTGAGGCAGTTTTAAAAAGATGCTCTACGTATTAGACTGGAAAGGAAGGAGAGTGGATAGGTGTGCTCTGAAGACAAACTGTTTCAAAATTTTCCTTGGGTAGACCAATCCCCTTCTGCTGGTCACTTATCATCTGCCTGTCTATTCTTGGATGAAATATTGACCATCTCCCTGCTGTCTTCTCATCTCTAACATGGTAATAACTCATTATTTGACTAACACATTGAGCAAATATACTAGTAGTGCCACAGCAATAAAACTATTGTAAACTTCACCATAATACTGGGGTTTGAAAAATCTAATCATGTAAAATTTGGTGTTATTAATGTAAGATTAAAGAACTGATCGGGATAAACCTGCTGTTGAGAATAAGATTCAATTACAAGCTGTGTCATAGGCAAATTTAGGTTATTACAAGACACTTTATCATAGGGATTCTTTTTGTGTAAATGCAATGATTATCACCATGAATTTCTGTGAGAAGAAAGCTAGCCTATGAAAGATCATTTTCTAATATTTTTTAAAGTATTTACTTAGAACAAACTATGAGGTGCCATAGTACAATGCTAACTATGCAAAATTTAATTGAAATGATTAATTCTCAATGAGCTTAGTGTTTCAATCAACAACATTTATTGTGCCCCTAATAAAGGGCAAGCATCTGAGAAATGTTCATGTGTTATCTCATTTTGGCTCTACAACTCTAGGCATTACTATCTCTCTCTCTCTGTTTGTTACAACTGAAATGTGAGGCTCAAGGAAATTATTTGTCAGTAGGTGAGAAATAACAGACAAGATTTGAGACGAGGTCTTCTGACACCGACATTTCTTCTGCTACAACCCTAGCTAGCTTCAGCTGAGGTCACAGAAAAGTATTTTATTTAATAACCTTTTTGACATCATTACTGTGCTTTCACTTTTTTGCTAGACTTATTTGTAAATATCAATTACTAATAGTAGCAAGGCAGCTAAAGAAAGTGCAGTGCAGTACCTTGGAACAGATGTTCAATGTAAGGCACATTCCTCATAAAGCAGATATCTTGCACCCATTTGCAGAGGATGAAATCAAGACTCAGAGAATTTAAGTGACTGCTTTAAGGTGACACTTTTTACTACTGAGCTACTATTTGAACTCAATCTGTCCGATCCAGTTCCATTTCACAGTACCCAGCACCTCTCTATTTGCAGCTGAAGAGAAATCCCATAAATGTTTCACATATGTATGTGATAGAATTAGCTCTGAAATAAGTTAAATTTTACAAAAACACAATTGACTATTATAAAATAACTGGCAGTCTTATGAAAAATTTCTATAACATTCATTTATCACACCGCTATATTGGAATAGGGCACAAACAAAGAAAAATGTGAATCAGAGAAAAACTATTCTTAATCAACTGTATATATATTCACAATGTTTATTATAAATTATTATGATAAAAAGAAAGCTGTCTTTTAATAGATGAATATTAGTAGAATATTCTATTAGCATTCATCAAACGATCCTAAAACATGTAAGGTCATATGTGTTTTACAAAAGAATATCCGCCAGAGATGAGGTTATCCACAAGCAATTGACTTCTCTTCATGTCAGGCTGACCTGGCCTTAGCTGTAATTTCTGATGAAGAAGCTACAATCACACCCAGTCATTTAGGTATTTGGCGATCCAGTTGCTAAGGAAAATCAAGATATTTGGATGAACATTTGGCAGGGAGTCTCTGAGAAATGCACTGCATCCTGACACATGCTCTATAGCCCATGAAGGTCTGCAAGGTCAACTCCAGAATTTACATGCAGTGAGGAGTGGGGTTTAGGGGCAAGAGATCTTGATCTGCTATATTGGCTTTTGCCTATACTTCACATTAGATTGAGGAAGTGTCAATTGTCCCCATCAGAGGAAAAGAGGAGTCAGGGCCCAAGACTTGTGGAAATAACGAAAGGAGCAGGGTAAGTTTTCTAACAAGAGAACAATTATTTTGCATCTAAGACCAGAGATCACCCCTACACACACACACACACACACACACACACACAAAAAAAAAAAAAAAAAAAAAAAAAAAACAGGTTTTGTGACACTCCAGTATGGCAGCAAATAAGTCCATGCCCTCTGGGGGCATTGGTTGGAGCTGCCGAAACTTTGTGCCTGGGAGCCATAGGCAGCTTACGAGAAATCAAGAGACTACCCATGGAGAATAGCCTGGACAAAGGATAATTCAGCAGATGTCATTATGAAAAGATGAATCCACACCAGATTCCTGCCCCTACCCTTCTCTTTCTCCTGGCCTGGGAGATATCACACCACCTGGAATTTAAAACAACTCTGAGAGCAAGAGATGTTTTGCTTGAGTAGACTGACATATTTTGCCATGGAGCAGGGGATCTCATAGAAATTTTTAAAATATGATTTTAAAAAAATGTTAGTTTTCATGCACATTTGGATTTGTAGAATGAGTTTTGTCCCCCCACACCTGTGTTAACCTAATGGCTAGACAAATAGAGTCAAAACTGCTTAGTTCTTTCTACTTCTGTCACATGCCCGTGAATAGTGCTGATGTGCTCACTTATTCCTTCACCATTGCTATAAATCCCACTCACCACAGCTCTATCACTTACATTCTATGTGGCTGAAAATTAGTCAGTCTCTCTGGATCTCAGTTTTCTTATACAAAAAACATAAATAGTATGACATTTCTGATCATCCTAAAAATCAAATGCTAATGTTAACACTGTTTTCAGCTTTAAGCTGGCCCTACCTGTCCACATCCTATGAACTCATTTCCAGAAAAGCAAGTTCAGACCTCCACTATGATTTCAAGAACTCATTCTAAACTTTACTTTAAGCCTCAGTCTTAACTTACTTGCTCTCATTCTGCCTTTGCTCCAATCTCATCTCAATCTGATCTCAAACTCTCCATCTCTGACCCTGCCCTCAATCCTGCCTTTAGCACTGTGAACTTCATGTTTATACAACATCTTCCAAGGTGTGACCTGTGACATTTCCTGTGGACTTTGACTTGACTGTATGCCCTACTGTAGAAGTCTTATTCTACCCTGTGTATAACATTCCCTCCTCCAAGCTCAGCTCTACTGAATGCAAATCTTCACTCTGGCAGTTCATCACATATCTAGTCTGACCAGCCCTGATCTCAGTGTAAATAGTGAAGCTGGCCAGAAAAAAATGGAGGGGAAAGCTCTTTGAAAAGTTTTAAACATGAAGTTATCCCATTAGTGGTCACCGTTTCTCTAGCCAACATCCAGTACCTAAAAAGAGCACATTGCCTGCTCCTTCCTTTTGCCACCCTGAAATCTTCTGACTGCCCCTCCATCGGATCCTCCCCTACTCTGCCTGTTCACAATCAAGTCTCCATAGAGTATCCCAGAAAGCCCCAAATGATTTTAGGCTTGTACATTTTATGAGTGACAGCATTTGGTAGAAGAATGGCCATAGAGTCAGATTAAGTTCAAATATCTCCACAATTTACTGTGCGGTGCACGGTATGTACTAGGTACTCAGTATTAGCTTTTCACTACTCCCACCTTTCCTTACTTTGCCCTAACAGTTGGGTTACTTGTTTCCAGGAGGGCTCACTCTGGAACACTTTATTTTGGAGAAAACAGAACTGGATGGGTCACTTCAGTGGGATGATAAGGGCAGCCACACCTCAATGCTCAACTATACCCCTATTATCAATTCACTACTCTGTCTGTGATGTTGCCTCCTGGGTTACTGATTGGGGTGTCATGGGATGCCAGTTGTAAAGACCAGATACCACCAGGTCCACTCAAGGCTCCAACTCTGGGATACTTACTTGAGAAATAAGTAATCACTCCAAGGAGCTCCCTATCTGTATTTTTTAGCTCAGATTTATGTGCGTTGTTGCATGGTCTGTAGCTTGCCCTCTTAGCACTTCTTCCAAAGTAAGCCTAAAGCCCAAGTCTAACAGGCTATTGGGTCACTGTAACACACGGACATTAGGACAAAGGGGATGGGCTTGATAATTTTTGGGGGTCAAGTTAACAATGCACCTGCTGAGCACCTGCAAGGTAATTCCTTGTATGTATGAGACAAAATGTAGTGGATGGAAAAAGGCAAAGGCTGGCCTATCAGCCCAAAAGAGATGAAGAGACAGCCATTGTTTTCCTGAAGATTCAAAGTGAAGCCTTCTTTCTAGTTTCTCTAGTTAGGGGCCAGGAGGTCAATGTCCCCCATCTCATGGGGCTGGAGTGTTTACCTTCAGTAAATGCAAAGAATCACCTCGAGGTGATTATTACCACATTCTTATCATCTCCAACAGCTGCTTGCTAAATAAGGAGCAGGAACATCCAAGGATCATAAGGACCAAGACCATGATAGGGAAGGAATTTGAGATAGTTAGACAAGAAATTAAAATTACCTCCACACCTCTTTCAGTTAACGTAAGAGAAAACTCTGAAATATATGCTTGGTACTCTTATTCTAAAACAGTGTGTCCAATTTTTGATTATATTTTTTTAAAAAGATTTCCAACTTTTGAGGATGGAAATAATTCAGTATATAATGTCTGAGTCTGAGCATGTAGAAAAAAAGCTCAGCATTAACTGCCTTTAATAACATACTAATTGTAACAAAGAAATAGTGTGAAATATTGAAAAGCTCATGTAGCTATGTCTTAAAGGGTTGAAATAACCTAAATTACAAAGTGATAGAGGTCCCTATTGAGTGTAGATAATTTATGATGTTTGTGCAGGGAGAGACATTAGCCAACCACAATTCATGCTAAGCAGAATTTTGAACAAAGTCCAGATGGTGTTTCAGCAGCAAAATGCAGTTATCCTGGGACTATCTAGTGACCAACAAAATCACTTAAGTCAAGCTCACTGTTCCGTGTAAGAATCAAGTTCAACAGAAGCAGAAACAATGGAAAACAGTTGCACAATATTTTTATATTGGAAATTACACTGTTATCTTTATTTTATAAACTAATTTTTATTTAATGCACAAATTATATATGTACTGCAATAAAGGAAACAAGGGAAATTCCACATTCCCATCATCCTAATACACACAAATAATTACAAGCACACAAGATTCAGCACAACCAGAATCAAAGCATATCTTCAATTTGTATTCTGCTTTTTTTAAAAATGTAATTAAGTGTTAAGTAATTATTTTGTATTATCATTTTTTTGGTGGCTTCAGAGCATTCTGTGTAAATTTTGTACCATGGTATACTATTCAAGTCCCCTCTAAACTCCCTAGTTAGTATTCCTCCAGTTTTTTTTTTTAACTCTTGTAAATAAAACTACAAAGACTATCTCAAGCAAATAACCATTATTATCCCTTTTGATTTTTCCCCTTTAGGCAACACAGTCCTTTTAAAAATGTGACACTATAACTCCATATGTCCTTCAAATGAATTTTGGAACTTTTTGAAAAATTATTTGTTTTATGTTTAGTGTGTCCCCACATCTGTGCTAACATCTCCACATTAAAATTTTCTATTTCATAACACTGTCTCCAAGTTCTGTTGAGCTCAGATGACTGCTCACAGCAAGTTCCATTTTACTTGGCTCCAATCAATTACAGGAATATGGATGATTTACAATCCAAATCATTTGAGCTCATACATTTCACATAGGGTAAAACAGAGTTGACAACCTCACTTGAAAATGTTAAAAGAGTGGTCCCTGTTTTCATGCACTAGTAAGTGATTTCTCAGTTAAATCTGCATGAATTTGAATATGTAATAGAGCCAAAATAGCATACAAGTCTGGATTTTGTGGAATGCACAGCATGAGATCATTTCTATACTGAGATTAAGCATTTCATTAATTACCTAAGTCTCAAATCTATTTCTCCTTTTTATTCTTGATTCAGTAACTCCCTTCACGCTACTGTTTCTTTTATAGAAATAGAAAAAGATAGAAATATTTTTCATGGAAAAAATAATTAAAGTTGTGGAGTTTTTAAAAAAATAAACTACTAACAGAAATCTGCTTGTACCAATTTTGTATGGTTCTAAATTGCCTGAAAGCTCTACATTGTTAAATTGCTTTTCCCTCTGTCCTCCTCTCCAGTGCTTGTTTACTGAAGAAAGATATGGGACAAGGGGCTCACTTTCTTACACAGGCTGAAGCCAACAAGGCAATTTGGAAAAGACCAAGAAAACAAGCTTTGGATTGTCTTCTTCTAAAGTAATTGACAAGCTGACGCAATTCGTATGAGTATTAAAGAGGAATTGATACTGATGACATTATCAAACAAATTCATGTTTGAATTTTTACAAAAAAAAATAGAGTCTTCAGCTGCCTTAGCAAAGCATAGTTTGGGAATGATAAAAGTGAGTTTTTAAATATTTAAAAAACATCATATAAAATATGCTTCCAGCAAAGTGAGTTGATAAGGAGAGAGATTATAGGCCTTAATTTGAAACTAGAAACAGCAAAGGAATTCAATTTAATTTTCACAGATAGTAAACTTGTAGTTCATAATCAATGATTAGAATTAAACTCACTAGAATTAGAGGAAGAATTAGAATTAGAGGAAGAAAAAAATAATAAATAAATAAATATTTAAAAATTGATATTCACTGCTATGTGTGAATATCCATTTAGTAATGTAGCTGATTTTAGCCTAATCTCTATGCTGTGATTTTCCATAATGTTGTCTCACATGAAACAGAAGTTTGGACAAAATCAGATTCAGGAAATAAGTTTGCCTGACAGACCATTCATTTTAGGAAAGAAATATCATTTTACATGAAATATATAATTCTGCTACATTCAGCACCATAATAAAAAGGAAGCAACTGACTTCACTTAGGAGCAAGTTAACACAGACCATGAGGGCATTATAGGCAGCAAAGTGTTTTAGGAAAGACTAACAAGACTGAGCTCTGAAGAAGAAGGTACTGATTATTATAAGCCATCAAGGCATTCAACCTGATGTTGAGTAAAATGTTTGATCCTTATCTAATGTCATATATATATATATATATATATATATATATATATATATATATATACATATATATATTTTTTTTTTTTTTTTTTTTGAGATGGAGTCTCACTCTGTTGCCCAGGCTGGAGTACAATGGCATGATTTCGGCTCACTGCAACCTCCACCTCCTGGGTTCAGGTGATTCTCCTGTCTCAGCCTCCCAAGTAGCTGGGACTACAGGTGTGTGCCACCATGCCCTGCTAATTTTTGTATTTTTAGTAGAGACGGGGTTTCACCATGCTGGCCAAGCTGGTCTTGAACTCCTGTCCTCGTGATCCACCTGCCTCGGCCTCCCAAAGTGCTGGGATTACAGCTGTGAGCCACCCAGCTGGGTCCCATATTTTTTAAAGAAAGGACCATTGAAAAGTCCTGCCAATTATATTTAAGTACTGGGAATACAATGATTTCTGTGTTACTGATCATATTCAAATTAGATTCAGAAACTACTATAGCAAGCTAAATCCTCTGTTTCATTTGTTTACATTTCATTTATTTTTTAAAACAATTCTATCCTCTGGCTTTCTCTTACTACATGTGTATAACTTTTACTGCCTTGTTTTTATTTTATTTTACTATTTTTTTGAGACAGACTCGCTCTGTCACCCAGGCTGAAGTGCAGTAGCACAAAAATGGCTCACTGAAACCTTGACCTCCCAGGCTCAAGCAACCCTGCCATCTCAGCCTCTCAAATAGCTGGAACTACAGGCACCCACCACCACACCTGGCTATTTTATTATTATTATTATTATTTTTTTTTTTTTTTTGGTAGAGATGAGCTCTTGTTATGTTGCCCAGGAAAGCAATCATCCTGCCTTGGCCTTTCAAAATGCTGGGATGAAAGGCATGAGCTATAGCACCTGGCTATTTCATTTTTAAGGAGAAAACAGGGTATAATTTATAAATAAATATACTACAGATGGGTGATATTTCTAGACTGATTAAAAAGGTTCACCTTGGTCTCATAGAGTTCCAACAAACCTAATGACCTCCAAGATGAATTAAAGATTAATAGATATTTTAAAATTTCTAAACATATATGCAGAAAGAATAGTGCTGTTTCCATGGGAAATAGAAAAGTTTAAGAGGCAATCACTACTTCAAGTTGTAGATTCAAGTCGAAGACTGGGCTGTTTGGAGTTTCTGCAAAGGGAGATACCATTTGGAAAGGTGGGATGGCAGTATTGGTTACACCATGGCTGTGGGTGGGGGTACTATTGGCATTTAGAGCCCAGAAACCAGAGATACACAATGTCCTCAATGCCCCAGATGGCTCTACATACCAAAGAATTATCCAAAACAAAATTGTGATTCCCTTTCCCCACTCCTTTCTCCAACTGGAAAATACTTGGTGGAATCCCTGGGGAGCTTGAACTTGATTCTTCAGTCCCCGCTGTATTCATTCATTAACAAAAAACTATTGAACACCAACCGTGGGCCAGATAATATGCTAGGACTGGCAGAGACGCAAAGATGAACAAAGCTCAAGTCTGCTCTACGGAACTCACAATCTTTTGGGGAAAAATGATAAGAAAATCAGCAACCCTAACATAGAAAAACAATTGTTATAGTATAAAATGGAAGGAAGGAATCTAAGAGAAACCGTTAATTCATCAGGACTCACCTGAAGCTTTAATTCGGTGGGGATTATTAGGAAATATTTCCAAGGCAAGATAACACCTAAAATGTGTGCTCAACAAGTATTCATTTATTTCTTCACAAATATGTATTGAGAATAGGCTCTGTGCTACACACTGGAATTACAGCACTGAACAGGACAGACATTGTCCCTGTCTTTCATATAATGATGGGGTTAGTAAATATAATATTGACAGTGTAATAAATGCCATGAAGGAAATTAGTTGTTCTGATAGAAAACATTAGGGGGATAGGAGCTACTCTGAAAATATGGTTAGAGAAAACCTCTCTAAGAAGGTGATATTTGGGTTATGACATGAAGGATGAGAGGAGGGTGTCAAATGAGGTGGTAAAGGAGAGTAAAAAGGATCCCAAGAAGTAACTACAAGCAACTGAAAACAACTTAGCCTGTTTTAGGAAGGGAAAGAAGAGTGATATGAATGGAGTGTAGTACACAGGTAGGAGAGTGAGGTGAGCTTGGGGAGGAGGCAGGAACCAGATGGCATTGAAGACTACTGCAAGAATTTTTAATTTTATTGAAAGTGTAAAGAGCAGCCATTAAGGAGTTTTAATCAGGAAAAAAATTGATATGATTTACTTTTATAAAATATTATTGGGCTGCTATTGGGAAACTGAATTATAGAGAGGCAGACGTGGAAGCAGGGAGGCCAGACTATTTTGAGAATGCATATGAACAAAAGATGGGGTTGGAATTCACAGGGCAGCAGTGGAAATGTAGAAAAAAGGAGGAGCAGAGACAACAAGGGAGGAATTTCAGATGATCCGCTTTGGACCTGGTAAATTTAAGAAGCCTGAGACTCCCAAGTGAGGTATGCAGAAGATATTTCAGGTGAATATAAAACTCAGGAGTCATCAGCATATAGATAGTATTAATAGTTAAAGCCATGGAATTAGGTGAGATGTCCAAAAGAAAGTGTTTCAAGAGAGAGAAGAGTCTCGGATGGAGCTGATTAACACTTAGGGGTTAATTAGAGAAGAAAGAGACAGTGAAGGCTCAGAGGAAGCAGTCAGAGAAGACAGAAAAACCATGAGGAGTGAAGGGAGAAGAGACAAAGACAGGTTAGCCTGGAAGAAAAAGGTTATGAAGAGGAGTAGGGAAGGGAGAAGAAAAGTTCAGATGGAGACAAGAGACGTGATTGAGAGAACATGAGCAGCACTGGGGACTCAAACTAGTCCAGCAGTCTAAAGGAAAGGGGATAGTGGAGGAGATACTGGCAATATTTTGGGAAAAGTGAAGAAGCATTAGATTATGACAGACTGTGGTTTACACTCTAAATAGTTTGAACTTTGTCATGAAGGCATTAGGGATCCTGATACGGTTTGGATCTGTGTCCTCACCCAAATCTCATGTCAAATTATAATCCTCAATGCCTAATGGGAGGTAAGGCCTAATGGGAGGTGATTGAATCCTCAATGCAATTTTAACACCATCTCCCTTTAAGCTGTCATTGAGGTGATATCCGGTGATATTCCTGTGATATCTGGCTGTTTAAAAGTGCCTGGTATCTCTCCTCTCTCTTCTCTTGCTCCTGCTCCAGCCATGTAGGACATGCCTGCTTCCTCTTAGCCTTCCGCCATGGTTGTGAGTTTCCTGAGGCCTCCCCAGAAGCCAAGCAGATGCCAGCATCATGCTTCCTGTACAGCCTGTGGAACTGTGAGCCAATTAAAACTCTTTTCTTTATAAATTACCCAATATCAGGTATTTCTTTATAGCAGTGTGAGAATGGACTAATACAGATCCAATAGAGGATGTTAGGCAGGAAGGGGCCACCATATGATATGTGTTTAGAACATATATCTTCCTCAGTGAGGAAGAGGGCATGAGAAGAGAGAAGGGGAGTCAGTTTCAGGAATTTAGTTCAGTAAATTTTTTAAGGAAAAACCTGATAGAGAGGAGGGATAGAGAGGAAGAAGTAGATCGGAGGGGTATTTATGAGGTAGAAAGCACAAGATTTGGAAATAGGAATGGTGAGGGAAGCCTAGAATGACTTTTAGCTTTAAACTTTCAGCTATTCCAAGATTTCTGGCACCATTAACCAAAGTAAGGAAAATAAGAGGAGGAGCAGGTCTGAGGGAGGAAGATAATGAGTTTTACACATTGAGTTTGAGGTACCTGTGGCACATCCACTTGGAAATATGATCCTGAAGCAAAGGCAAGTGGCCTAAGGTATAAACTTTTTGGGAATTGTGGGTTCATGGGTGGTAGTTGAAAGCCATGCAAGAAGATGAAAAGGGAAATGAGACACCAGACAGCATTAGGGAATCCTGCATTCAAAGAGTGAGCTAAGGAAGGACTGGTCAGTCAAGCAGGAGAAAAATCAAGAAAGGGATGTCACAGAAGAAAGGAGAGAAGGAGGGTGTAGTCAATGGTATCAAATAACATCAAATGTTACAAAGAGGTCAAGAAAGAAACTGTATGAATGCATGTAGATATATATATAATCTATAGAGGTAGATATTAATGCATAGCTTATAGGTGCACACGTATACTCCAGGTTTTAAAAAAAAAAACTGAGGAACTGAGCACAGAAAATTTCAATCATGGGCAAGGGAAAATAAAGATACTACCTTAGTTTCAGCATCTTGTATCTTTGTCATTTAATTTGCATGAGTGTGGGAGGTGTTTAGTATGTGATATGAATATTGTATTTTGCATAGTATCAAGGAAAACTATACATTGATGGCAGATATAATCACTGAATAAATGACAAAGAAAGAGGTGAGAAGCTATGATGTAAACATTTATTATAGCCTGTTAACAACCTGATCTATAAAACAAAATTACTTTTAGTAATAGTTATGTAATAATTAGTAAGCATTATTTTTGAGTTGTTCTTTAGTTTTAAAGCAAACAAATCATTTTAAAAAGTAAAATTTAAATATGTTACTCAAATTCAGTAAAATATTGCATGTATAAACTAAAATTTTCACTAACCAAACAAAAAGTCACACCTCATAAGTCACACTCTGTTCTACTCTTTTAGGTTTTAAATACAAATAAAAACTTGAAGGGGTCACTTAGTATGACAGAATTGAAGTAACTTGAGCTCTGTTTCTTTGTCTACCCTGGCTAACTTTGAATCCTCTACTTAAATGTAGGAATATGTAGTGCCATAGGAGTCAGAGCTAAGAACTGCACACAAGGTAGGCTGAAAAGATTTAGAACAATTTTGAAATTATTCATGAAAAGAATGCATATAGTGGCTGGGTGCTAATATTTTGGGGTGATTAGAAAAGGAAAGTCCTTCAAATTAACTTTAATGTAAACTAAAGTGTTTATTAAAGAATAAGTAATTTTAAGTCCTCATTTGAAGGCTATGTACATACTTAAAACTCAACAGGAATCATATCAGCTATTTAGAACATAGATCAACAGAAGAGATTTTTTGAGGAGGAGGAATTTGGACATTGTTTAGAATTGCTGGCACATGATAATAAAAAAGTAGACCTACTCAGGTTTATTATTGTTTTGAATTCTATACCTGAAACACACACCCTTACTATCTGCACCCAGGGCAGACCATGCCACCCACCCTGCTGTTGGTAAGCCCTTGGGGATAGGATTGGGCCTACATCAAGCACCCTGATCACCATCATCACCATGCTTGCCCCCAGCTAGGCCCCACTGAGAACCAGCGTGTATCATGGCTTCACAGAGCAAAATATTCAAATTTGGTACATACAAAAACCCTACAGGGATCTTTCCAGAGTTCTCTGCCTGGAGTGAGAGGAAGCATGAAATTGGGGGAAAGATAGTAAGGGCTGGACATGTAAAAAGGTTATGCACATGGGGATCATATTTTTTTTTTAAATCAGCATGTTCTCCAAGGGAAAAAGTATAAGGAGACAAAGCCGGAAGGCTGAGGCCTGGGTAAAGGAGAAAAAAACAAAACAAAACTGAGCCAGTGAAGAGTTTGCCAGAATTTATAAAGAACTTAAGTGATTCAATAGCAGAAAAACAGAGTGATTAAAAAATGAGCAAAGGACCTGAATAGACATTTCTCCAAAGAAGACATAAAAAATGACCAACAGATATATGAAAATGTGTTCAGTGTAACTAATCGTCAGGGAAATGCAAATCAAAATCATAATGAAGTATCACCTCATATCTGTTAGGATGGCTATTACTAAAAATACAAGAGATAGTAAGTATTGGTGAGGGTATGGAGAAAAAAGAACCCTTTACACTGTTGGTGAGAATGTATATTGGTGGAGCCATTATAGAAACAATATGGGGGTTCCTGAAGAAATAAAAATAGAACTTCTATATGACTCAGCAATCCCTCTTTTTGGTATATGCCCAAAGGAAATGAAAGCACCACCTCATAAAGATATCTGCACTCCTGTGTTCATTGCAGAATTATTCACCATAGCCAAGATATGGAAACAACCTAGGTGTCTGTTGACAGATAAATGGATTAAAAAGAAAACTGATGTGTGTGTGTGCGTGTGTGTGTATATATGTGTGTGTGTATATATATACACATATATGTGTGTGTGTGTATATATATACACATATATGTGTGTGTGTGTATATATATACACATATGTGTGTGTATGTGTGTGTATATATATATATATATATGGAATATTATTCAGCCTTAAAAAAAAGATTCTTCACTTGCCACAAAATGGAGGAAACTAGAGGACACTATTTTAAGTGAAATCAGCCAAACACAGGAAGAATAATATTATATAATCTCACTTATATAGAGAATCTAAAATAAAAAGTCAAATATACAGAGATAGAGAATAAAATAGTTACCAAGGGCAGGGGTGGAGGAGGGGAAGAAATGGGGAGACATAAGTCAAAGAATACAAAGTAGCAGATATGTAGAAAGAACTACTCTAGAGATCTCATATACAACATGAGGAGGATGGGTAATCATATTGTATTGTATTGTAATGTATTTCATTGTATTGTATTGTATTGTATTGTATTGTATTGTATTGTATTGTATTGTATTGTATTGTATTGTATTGTATTGTATTGTATTTGGGACTTTTCCTAAAAGAGTAGATTTTGGCTGCTCTTGCCACAAAAAACAAAATCAGTAACTATGTGAGATGATGGATATGTTTATTTGCTTCACTATAGTAAGTATTTTACTATCCATACATGTGGTATATATATATTATACCTTAAATATATACAATAAAATTTATTGAAAAAGAACAGAAAACAATGGTATTTAGGAAGGCCAAGGGAAGTGGGCATTTAGAAAGAGAACTGTCTGCCCAGGTGTATGCTACAGAAAGCCTGAGGAGAATGGGGGCTGAAAGACAGACAGCCTCTGTGTTTGTTAAGGAGAACACTGGCAATTTTTGAGAAACCAGATTTAAAAGAATAATGGAGGCAGAAATTTGCTTCTACTTTAAATTATAGAATGAATTAAATGGTACCAAAGTAGAAGGAAGAGAGTTTGGATCACTCATCAGAGAGTTTGATACAAAAAGGAAAGAAATCAATTGGAGAGTGATTGAACAGATAATAGTCCACTGGAAAGTTTTTGTGTTGATTGGCTTTGATAGACGTTATAAGCTTTGTGCATACTAGAAAGAAAGGGGGAAGAGATATGCAGAAAATGCACTGGGAATAACCGAGATTACCACTACAGGCAGACAGCTGGTAAGTGGCTGAGCAAGTCAAGACAGGAAGGAGCAAAGCACTGAAGCCACTGACTGTGGCACAGAGACAAAATGGGCTCCAAGGGAAACCCGGTGACAGTCTGGATAAAATCGGACGAATCAGATAACTGGAGGCTTGGTGTAGCTGGAGTGAAGGTTTAATAGCTATGAAAGTGAGAAATATGCAGGTTGTGGTTATAGAAATTTTAACTTCAAGATTATAGGGTTGAAGCAAATTTCAGTGGATGACAGCCATTTGGGATTCCAGGCCCGAAAAAAATACCTGAATTTGAAGGATATAATGAGGCAAGTGAATCAACAAGTGCTCTAGGGATACCCCGATGTATCAGAAAAGCAGACATAGCCTACGGTTACTTCTGATACCAACTTTCTAAGGAGTGTGTGGTGAAGTACTTTTCAGATGCATGCTAGACTATGGAATTTTGAATCTGGGTATCTTTGTACCTTAAATAAGGAATATGTGGGGTTCAGATAGTTTTCACTGAGATTCAGGAAGCAAGGTCCTTAATGCTTTTTCATTATTATCTCTAGCATAACTACTTCTTCCGGAGATGAGATTTACAGATTTTCACGATGAAGTAACACCCAGAGGCTGTCCAGAATTTATGAAGCCTAGTAGGAAGGTCTTTATCATAATTAACTTTACCAAGAAGTTTTTCCTTATTTTTTTCTAATTATAAAAATAAGGCACTCTCAATAAATAAATTTTGGTAGAAATACAGATATGTATTAAGAGAAAAACACAAACCTTCTTTAACCCCATTACCCAGAACCAAACATGTATATTGTGTGTGTGCATGCGTGTGTGCATGCATGTGTGTGTGTTTCTATGTATTTTAAATAGATGGCAATTTCGGGAAATTGCCAGTTTGCTTGGTAGATATTATATATAACCTCGTCTAAATACAAAGATGTGAAGAAAATTGGAAAGGGAAACAAGAATTCTGGCCCTTGACCTCTTGGTTTATCAGTTTCTGGGTTTTAATTTAATTAAATATTTTGCATACATACTCAATATTAATAATTGAAATTGAAAAGCATGGTATCATTCAATATTGCTTTTGATTCCTAGGCATTAAGACATTAAGTGATACTTAATGTCTGAACTATTGGAAGATGGATTAACTTTTTAAGGCCCTTAGAAAACTATTTAAATTTATGGAATAAATAGCATGTGACTGAAAAGAATTAATGTAGATTTTCAAAGGGTTCAACTTAATGCTAACTTTTTTGTTCATTAGAAGGAAGATATCATTAAAACAAAAGTGTATAGATGAGCTCTCAAGGGAGTCAGGAAGAAGCACCAACCCCTCAACCCACACACACACACAGAACCTGGTCTAATAGATGGGAAATAAGGCCAGAAACCCTAAATGCATCAAGGACTTGGGCTAAAACATTAATTAATATTTTAAGCAATAGTTCTTTGTTTTTAATTAATGATGTAAAATGGGTAAATGTGCAATTAAGAAAACCCATAACTTCTCAATTCATCCCATTTTAAGTTAATATGTATGAATCTGTCACATAAAGCAAAATGAATAAACAGTGTAGGTATCTGAATAATTCAGAAAGGGAACACAATATAGAAAGTTTGCGCCTAATATCTCTAAAATAAAGACAAAAGAGGGAATTTAGCATAAGTGGTTATGTAAATGGTTATCCAAGCGTATCTCATCAGAATTAATATTCAATATTTTATTTTTATTTTTAATGTATTATTTTCTCTTTATTGTTAATCTCTTATTATCACACATCAAAAATAATATCAGACATTTACTTTGGCTATTTTGATGAAGTCTTAAAACCTGAGTACATGGGAAATTTTCTCTAAATAAAGCCTTTTAACTCAAATCGGAAGAAGTGAACTGACCTTCATTTTATTTCATGTTAACTGTGCTGGGTAGTAAAATTTATAGCTAAATATATTGGCTTGTTCTTTCAGGCACTGTCTTACCAGCACTGGAATAAAGCTAACATCCAATGTGTTGTCGGGGCTGCCTGACTTCAGCTGTTTATTTCATGGGTAATTAGTGGAGATCTTTTACATTCTGCTAAAAGGGTCATTCCAAGAAGAAACAGAAAACACTGGACAAAGAAAATATGAGTTGATCTTGTCAGCATCAAGGATTTCTCTGCAGGAGATCTTGCTGTGGCTTTCATTATCACAACAACCAGTAGGTGTTGCTATAGAAACTATACTGTTAACAAGCTAACGGAACAAGGCAGACACAGACAAATGATGAGGGTGGGGAAAAAAAGAGGAAAACGAAAGGCTATAAGGTTTGGTTCTTGTAAATGAGTCTCTTGCTTTAAAATCTTACCTTATCTCCCTTGGTTTTCCCATTAATACTGCATGGATAATGTATGACCAGTAATAGGAACAATATAATAAATTCATACAGCCCTCTTCAGGCAAGGTCTCAGAGAGCTCTGTAATTGAAAATGAAATTAAAAGCAACAATAAACGAATTCCTTTACAAATTAGGACTTTACAGTCCAAAGTGATCCAGACAAGTAATGAGGTGTCTCCCAGCCCTCAAGTATGGAAATTCATATGGAAGTATGCACATTCATTATTTATGTGTGTCAAATGTATTTGAGAAATCTAGTCAATGTAGTCAAAAATGAAATACAGCATCTCAATCCAGTTAATAACTAGGTATCACAGAAAAAATAATTTAAGAATTTATAAAAGTAATATTGAGATTAAAATGTTACAAAAATTGTCGTGAAACCCCAGCCTCAGCTAGTAAAAACGCATATAAATTTGACCCTTTTTTGGTTAATATTGAGGGAATTATAGGCAAAATATATATGAAGTATGTTTGTAAATCAAGTCCTCTGGGGTTGTAAGGTAAAAATATTTCACATTTCTTTTCTATAATTGCCTCATTTTCAAGCCGAAAATACTCCCTACAAAATTTGCCACTTTCCAAAGAGTTTCTGTGCATATAGACAGGAAAAACCACAGCCATTTCTTTTTAACACTGTTCCTCAAAACGAAAAAGCAAGCAATTATACTTCTAACCACTCTTCACTAGCACAGGTTCTTCAACAGTCTGTGAATATAAATAAGGTTGTATTAATGCTCAGTGTTCAAATTGCAATGTCTCTTCACTTGTATGATTTCTGTGCCCCTATGATATTTCTAGACCCCAAAGAGGCAATCACATGTGCTAACCAAAGGTCCCCTCCACCACAGCCAGAGTGCTGCCTTTGCTCTTTTATTTTCTGTTTTTCTTGGTTCCCTGCTCTCCTGAACACAAGCTATAGCAGGTCCTCATATTGCCCCTCTTAATGGATTTCATGATCTCACAGTCCATAAAGAGGTACGAAGAATGGCCTGTACTCCAACTCCAAGCCTGCTTTCATTTACTCAACATTTATTCAAATAAATAAATTATAACTTATTTAAATAATTATTTGGCAGCCATGCCCCCAAGGAGCCTTGCTTGTGGCCAGAGCTGCACAAAATGCTCCATGAAAACAACTCCTTCCACTTCTATGTGTAAGCTCAACTAGACAGTATTTTCCAAGTTATTCATTTCTACAAGTACTAACAACATTATTCAGGCGCAAAGAGGCTCAATTCTGCTTAGATAATAAAATTGGCCCCAAAAGCAATATTTGTAAAGATGTGACTCTGTTTACCACTTAGACAATATGTTTTTATCTGGAGCTCCTTGGAGCCACTAATCTCAAGCATCTTGTTTGATTGTAGTTACTACTTACCTTTGTGAAACTAAATGGCTCATTCAAAAGGTTGCCCCACGCAAAGACATGGTCTTCCCTAACCTGTATTCAAGCCTTTGTTCCATTTCTGGGAAGAAGGAAAGCTGAAGATTTTATGTAATATTTTGTTTTACTTCTACTTTTGTCATCAAGTTTCCAATCTTAGGGCTAAATTTCAATCTGGACTCAAACTCAGGAATATTATTCCCTTCTGCACGATGTTTCTGATAAAGAAACAAGATAAAGAATCACAGCACTTTACGACCTTGATGATGGAGAGAGCACTTGTGAAGCGCTCCCAGAAAAGGGGAAGGCCAGGAGCAGAGTCAGAAAGTTTCTAAGGATGAACTTTTTTTTCTGAGTGCCTCAACTTTGACAACAGAGGCCTAATATGAATATTTATTCCAAGAATGTTGGGTTTTCTGGGCAGTCCATCAGCAGTTCTATTTGCATGAGAGAAGGAACAGAATGGGTGTGTTTTCATTTAGGTTTATAAAAACATGCACACAAGGATTAAATTGGTTTTAATTGCAAATAACCCATTAAGCCATCTATTTCAATAGGGAAATAGATAAGTAAATTATGATATAGTCATACAATGGAATACTACAGGAGAGTTAAAACGATAGAACTTATCTGCAGATAGTAAGAAGAAAATATCTCAAAAATATAACATTGAATGCACAAAGCAAGATACAAAAAGATAGTATATATTTAAATATGTCAAAAGATACTATATATTATTTATGTTATACCTTTATCTGCAGTAAAGGTGTAAACACAGGAAAGAGAAATACCAACTTCAGTATGAAGCTTATGTCTTGGAAGGAGGAGGAGACATGAAACAGAGTGGAAGTGGATTTCAACTTTTCCTATATCTTTAGTACTACAATAGTAGTTTTCTTCCCAACCTGGGCAACATAGTGAGATCCTATCTCTGAAAAAATTAAAAAATTAGCTGGGTATGGTGGCATGAGCCTATAGTCCTAGTTACTTGGGAGGCTGAAATGGGAAGATCACTTGAGCCCAGGAATTTTAGGCTGCATATGAGTCACCAGTGCACTCCAGCCTGGGTGACACAGCCAGCCTCTGTCTCAAAAAACAAAAGAAGTTTCTTCAACTACCTTATCTGAAGAAAATATGGCCATACATTCATTCAGATTAAATCTTGAAGCTATGCATGGGTGTCTATTGCATCATTATTTATCTGGTTTAATTATTTTAACTATCTCATTATTTAAAATCTTAAGTCCCTGAAAAAAACTTATCAAGCTTATGAAAGAGACACAGTTTCTGGCTCTGCTTACATCTTTTTATAAAATTATCTTTTCTTCTCCCATACACCAGAGTGTCTTTGAATAGTCCCATGAATTGCACAATGGGGAAATGGGAGCAGAATCTAGCCTGCACTCTTACATCAAATGATGGGCACTGATAGGATTCTACCTGCTGGAGCAAGAGGCTCTATAGCTTCAAACAAAATTCCAGACACCAAGCAGGTGAACTTTATTGACCCAGAGGGTCCCCTTTTTCAATCTACCCAAAGGCTTTGTATAGGCTAGTGATGGTCCTGATCTTCCCACACCAGATTCTCACTCTCCTCTTTTTAGAAATCCTTGAGATACAACTTCATCCTTCTCCCTTTAGACTCTTTGCTGTCTTACTCACTTCCCCACATCCTTCTGATTGTCCACCGGAAAATCCAAGAGCCAGAGACTGGCTCATCTTTGGAAGAAAAAAGAGATGGAAATTGACTGAGCAAGAGACAAGGGAAAGGAAGGCTTGAATTCTCAGATGTAAGACATTGTAAGCCATCTCTAGTTAAAAGAAGGAAATCTAACCCTAAAGTCTATCTTTTTAATATGATAAAAACATGTAACATAAAATTTACAATTTTAACCATTTTTAAGTGTACAGTACAGTAGTGTTAACTGTATCCACATTGTTATGCAACAGATCTCTAGAACTTTTTCATCTTGCAAAACTGATTCTATACCATTGAACAAATAACTACTTCCCTTTACCCGCTCCTCCAGCTCCTGGCAACCATCATTCTACTTTCTGTTTCGGTGTTTGACAAATAATTGTCATCATGCAATATTTGTCTTTTTGTGACTGGCTTACATCTCACTTAGCAAAATGTCCTCAAGATTCAACCATGTTGTAGCACATGACAAAATTTCTTTTCATTAGCACTGAATAATATTCCATTGTGTGTGTGTGTGTGTGTGTGTGTGTGTGAGTACACCATATTTTCTTTATCAGTTCATCTGTTGATGGACATTTAGGTATCTTCTACTTCTTGTCTATTGTAAAGAATGCTGCAATGAACATGGATGTACAAATATCTTTTTGAGACGCTGTTTTCAATCCTTGTGGCTATGTACCCAGCAGTAGGATTGCTGGATTATATGTTAATTCTATTTTTAATTTTTTTGAGAACTGCCCTTCTATTTTCCATGGTATTGGCACCGTTTTACATTTCCACCTGAAGCCTGTTTTTTTCCCAGCTAAGTGACTTTATATATTTGCTGTTTTTCATTTCTTTATTAAATTATATTCTATTGTTTAATATCACAATAAGTGTGTACTCCATTTGATTGTCATTTTTTATTTCATTATTTTATTTATTTGGTTTATTTTTATTTATTTTTTTAGAGATGGTGTCTCACTACGTTGCCCGGGCTAACCTCTAACTTCTGAACGCTAAGCAATCCTCTGGCTTCAGCCTCCTGAGTAGGTGGAATTACAGGTGCACCCTTCCTGCCCAGCTTCAATGACCCATTTTGACAACCAAGATATTTTGTTGCCAAGTGTTGCTCCTAAGTACATATAGAGTTTTTTATTGTTCAAGCTGACATGTTTACCAGAGTTTCCCTCTTCTAATATAACAGATTTCTAGCAACACATTCTCCAACACATAGAGTTATGGAAAACTTAATTTTCTAAAGAATGGGTTAACTGGCCAGTTGTGCAGAAGAAAGGCAGACAGAAGCTGGACAACTATAAAAGCAGCAGCCACAAAGCCCAGGAAGCAGTCAATGGTTGTGTCTTAGATGACTATCTTTTCATTTATTTCCTTATTTTTATCTTTTTCTAGCTTGTTTTGTCGTTTTTATTGCATACTCATGTACAAAATCATTGACAGCATAATTGAATGCAAACAAAAACAATAAATATTGGTTGAATGGATAAATGAAGCCTATGTTTTGAGGCTTATATTAGAGCGCATATGGTTGCAAAAGGAGAGAAACTTATCTCCTAGGGCTGCAGTGACTGAAAAGAACACTGGCACCCACAAGCCCATCCTAGTAGAGTGAAAGGGAGAAGAGCAACAAGAAAACTCTAAGAGCCTCTGAACACAGACATGACTGGCAATCTGGGGAAAGGGGGGAAATAACCTCCTTAGCCTGAGAAAATCAGGCTTTCATCATCCCTGGGCCAGAATATAGCAGTTCCCCTAACATCCTTATTCTGAGTAACAAATCTTCCATGGTTCCCACCCCAGAAGCCAGCTCTACTGTCAGTCTATGTGAGTTGATTTGGGACCATATTCACACTGCAGTCATGCAATTAGGCAGCACTATTTCACAGATGCCAGGGGAGAGTCATTCCCTGCCATCTTGTTCTTGAAGCCTTACAAATCTATTCAAAGAGAATTTGACCAATGGCGGAAAGACAGTAATATATATTTTTCTTCAAATATTCTTTTATTTAAATGACAGAAAAAAAATCTTGAGGAAAAATTCTATTCAGGAAAAATATATAGTTTTTTTTTTTTAAATTGGTTATATCTGCATTGACTTCTGGACTACTGAGTAAGGAAGACAATATTTGACTTTGTATTAATTAAGACTTTGGTTGCCAGGGCTGGAAATCCATATATCCTAGCTTAAGAAAAAGGAAAAGAGGAAAGGAAACAAGGGAAGGAAGAGATAAGAGAAGGAGAAGGAACCAGCTGACTTACCAAAGGCGGGGAAGCCCATGGTAGCACTGATCTCAAGAGCTCTGCCTCTCAGTTTCTCTGTCAGCTTCATTCTCCTTTCTGCAGGTCCACTTTCCCTACATGGTGGGAGACAGGCCTCCGCTGTAGCTGCCAGGCTTATGTACTTGAAATTCCATGGACAAAAAGGAAAAATCTTTCTTCCCTCAATGGTAGTTTGAAAAAAATCTCAAGAAAGATCCTTGGCTGGCCCAAATGAACCAATAAACTTTGACTAGCCCAGATTGACTATTGGCAGGAGTTAAGATGTTAGCATTGGGTAGGTGTTTGGCATGTTGAGGATATGGATAATGGAAAATTGGGTTAGATATATATTTTTATTTGTGTTTAGTGAGATTCAGTTACATAGCTCACTGTTTTTTCTGCTTATAGTATTTCAAGAAAGGTTTCATAGACCAACAAGCACTAGAATTAGGATTTAAATAAAAGATTTGTACAATCTGGATGCCAATTTTAGCACAATGCTTTATTACTTTTGGTACACCCTATTTTCCATTAAGGGGTCTTCCCATGTTTCAACTTAAAGGCATCAGAACTTGAATGCATCCTTGGCCACATACCAGCATTTGACAATTGTCCCTCCTGGCTCCAATACAACTTTCCAGTCTTATCTCTCATAGTGCTGTACTTGTGAAAAACACTCCCCCAAAACTGAAGTCCTTGCCTTTACTGATCCCTACCTTTGCCCATGATTTTCTCTCAGTCTGAAACAGTCTTCAGATTATTAATTTATGGATAATTGGACAAAAATTGGTATCAACAAATACAGTACAAAACTGATATCAACAAAGATAATTCAACAAAGATAATACAAAGGCCACTGTAATAAAGACATTAATGATGAACAGGTTAATTAGTGTCTTAATCAATGAACATTTAAGATTAGTCAATGGATAAGAAAAGTGATATTCCCTAAAATCTTAAAGTTTATCTATCAAAAACACTTGATAGAGTTTTCCTAAATTTGACAGTCATAAAAATTTACATGATATTACCAATTACAAGTTGTTTAGAACCTGAAAGGGAACCTTTCAATTATAAATGATTTAAAAACATGTGTTTTTATAGCATATGATAGAAGAAAGACTGGGTTATCTTTTTATTCTCTTTATAGAAAATATTTTTAAATTGTCACATATAGAGGGGATCAAAGAATATACAGTCAAAAAATTGAGGAAAAGCATTAAAGAGGTGTGTCTAGTCATTAATATGAATTATCTTGTTATTCTTCTAGATTTGTGATATTTGTGGTAGTTATATGTTTTTTGGTTGTGATTTCCCATTCTAAATCAATACTCATTTTCATGTGTAAATATCTAATTTGATATTCATAACTTTCTTTCTATTGCTAAAGCATCCTTCAAAATTATATAAGTTTCAAACCCTGCAAAACCTGGATCTATTCCCAGGTGTCAGGTAAGAACCTCAATGATAAGGTGACATTTTTGCAAAGAACCGAATAAAGCATAAAGCCATGCAAAATCCTGGGAAGAGTGTTTTCCAGGCAAAGGGAACACAAAGGGAAAGGATTCTAGGAAAGAACATGCTAGGCAGTCATTATGTTTATTAGTGTGTCCATATGAGAGTAGAAGTTTAAGTTTAAACTACCTTAAAGACATCCCTATTTAAGCAATACACTTATTGCTCCATGGGTTTAGCACTGTACCCATCAGTTGCACCTTGCAAACCACAGCTGTGGCAGACAGCATTATTTGCCTATTCAATGTATATTTCCCTTCTGCCTTACTAACAGAACTCTGATATTATTTGGGGCTTCAATGTGCCTCACTATAAATCTATTTTCCCCAGCCTTCCTTGCAGCAGATCATGTGACAAAGTTCTTATCAATGAGCTCTAAGTGGAAGTCCCCAGGCCGAGCTCATGGGAGAGCCCTTTAAATGGGCTGACTCAGTTGGAAAACCTTTTTCCTTGGCCTTTACTTTCTCTACATTCTTGCCTGAAATTCATCTATAAGTCTGGAACACTGGCAGCCATTCTGAGCATATTCGAGGATGGCCATACTCTCTACCCTAGCAATGACAGAACAGCAAGCTAAAAGGGTCTTGGATCATTGGTGACATCATGGAGCCACCATGCTAACCCTGAGCTGACAACCTCAAGAATTCTTTTACATGACAGAAAAAGAAAGTTCTGATATGTTTAAACTACTGTTTTGTTTAGATCCCTGAAACAGATGGAAGCAATTCCTAATCAAAACTTTAGGTAGTGACAACAGCAAAAGCTTGTGTATATATGTATGTATATATATATATATATATATATATATATATATACACACACACACACACACACACACATAATGCAGTACAAACTTGGAATTCCAAGGCATATATTATTGCAAATGGTAAACTTTTTCTTCCATACCCACTTGTTTAGAATAGTTCATATAGAATCCACATAAGACTTTATTTTGAACATTTTAGTTGATTATTTGTTAATGCAGAGAGTGAAGAAAATTTTTGTTATTAAAACTTGCTTAATTTAAAAAGTCAATATTCAAGAGATATAAACATCAAACATCTTTTACAAATAATATAAATTTATCACGTATATTGCCTTAGACAGTAATGCTGTCCAAAAAGAAACTACCTTTATTCATTTAGTTGCTGATAAACAGTTCTTGCTGTTTGTAATTTCATTATTAACATTTTAAATGTTTAACCACATAAAAGTCCTTTTTATCCATATGCAGAGCTAACATTAAATACATTTCTATTCAGCAACATTAAAGAGAGAACACACAGAGAGAAAAGAAACCCTGTGAATAAGAGCAGGTTTTACACACACAAAAGAAGAAAGCAAGACCGTGACCAAAATCAGGCTGTTTATCTGATTAGTGACATAACAATGAAGATAATCAGTGATACTGAGTAGCATATCTGAGCCCTTCTAGAGTACTGCAGACCAGAACATCTGCATGGCAGAATCATCTCCCTGGGCTATTTTAAAGGTAACTAAATATGGTTCATTGTCAGAGCTAAGGAGCTGAGCAACGACGTGCCCGGTGGCTGCCTTAAGAGTACCTCTCTCATGGCTGAGGAGTGCCTTCTGCAGGAGCAATTCCCAGGCTATTGTGCCTCTCACATATGTATGGTGTTCTGAAATGGTTAAGGAAAATGAGAAGCGCTGTGAAAGTACATTTTTGGCTCAGCATAAACCATTCATTGATTTGTGGGCTGCAAGTCCTCCAGGGGGTGTTGGGAATCCATATGATAGCTAGATTTTTACATTTGGATCTCTTCTTTAGCTGATGGATGTGTAAAATTTCATGTTAGCCTGGCTACCCCCTATTGGCTACACATCTGAGGAGGTTCAAGAGTATGAGTTATTTCTTCCAAAGTCAATTGTAATTTACACTCACTAAATTGCCTCCAGATCCACCTTTTAAAGATAGAAGACTCAAAATTGCATTCATTTTGGCCTACACTGCCCATTTGTGTTGAAACCACAGCCCTACTTTGGAGAGCCGCCATCACTAATGGAAAGACATTTTGTGGCTGAGGATCTACATTTTCCACAGCAGAGCAGAATGCTGGCAAGTCAAATGGCCAATGTACAAGCAGTTTTCAGCTCAGCGAAAACTCTAACAGCGCGCAGGCAGGCTGGAGGGAGGTGAAGTGGAAGCATGGGGTAACCGTCCTTCAGTCCATCTAGTGCCAGAAAATCAAAAGCACCAGTTTCACACTATGAAAAATTTGCCGCTGGTCTGAAAATGGTCTTGAAATGAAGAAATATTTTGCTCCTTTCATTTTGCCCTTTCCCATGGTTTAGTGTATGCCTCTCTGTGCGAAGCACTCTTGAAATTTATTGCCCAGTTTAGTTCATCTTGCTGACTGACTTTTTAAAAATTAGCAATATTAATAGTTCTGTGTTTCTTTCCAAGCAGCACACCTTTCTTCCCTCAAAAACCCAAATTCCTAACGACCACTGTGAGGAACATTTATAATTCTCAATTCTTCTCACTAATTGCTTCATGCAGTTTTAGTGGAACCTTAAGTAGAAGTTTAGAGGGCTTGTTAGAAAGGACTGTTTGTTTCAAGACTGTTTCAAGACCAAAAAAAGAACTTATGAAAACAGACATGAATTAATAAGCTATCAGTCTAAAACAACCACATTAAACTCAGATGTAAGCCACAGCATGTACTTGAGGAGATTAATTCATTCCATGACATTGACCTCCAGGCTCACTTACCACTAAAATGTGATGAGTCTGTGAAAGGATTGTTTTTCAAAAGTTCAGATTTTGTCAATGGGTTTTTAAGTAGGCTCTCTCAATTTAAAACCAGCTCTTGCTGACTGAGCTCCAAATGCACATTTGGGACAACAAGCGGAGTAAATGAGGTAAACAATGAGCTTCATCAAACCAAACACCTGATGACTCACTCCACCAGCCTTCCTTTTCCTCTCCTGACAGAGCCTCTATTATGAGTTCTCTTTAACCCAATTAGGTGCCATCAATTTTCCACTCCAATCTCCCCATAACATCCTTCTCCTCCCCAGCCAATGTTAAAAATCGCAACTAAAATACTCCCTGTGTGTTCATCCATCAGAGCCCAGTATAAAAATTCATGTGGCCCATTTACAGCATCAACTGAGTACACCTGTCTTTCAACTTAGCATACGCTTTCTAAATGTACTTGTAATGTTGCAATTTAGACAGTTCCGTTTCTGACCGATATCACTGGCAATGCAAGTTGATGCTCTGGATCTGTGAGACCTACTTCTTTGAGGGACCCAGGTTTAAATTTTTGGCAATGCTTCAAGGTGAAAACTTTTGTTCCTAATATGAAGGGGACAGGGTCTACCACTCAACCTTGCTGACATTTGCTCCTGGGAGGTCCAACAGTCTTAAACAAAAAGAAGTAGAAACATCTGGAATCTCATGGTCAGCATGTTTGTTATGTTCAACAGCAGGGGAGCCTAGACTCCACATTCAACCCACTGCTAGGGAAGCAGCAGTCAATATGGGGTGGGGGAGGAGAGACATTCCATGTTATATCTAAAACATCGTATGAAGAAAATTATAGCCAAAGCCATCGTGTTAGTTCCATCAAATTCAGAAATCAAAACTCCATTTTCAGTTTGGAAATAGAATAAAAATTATTTTCTTCTAATATTTCACTGTTAAATTTAATTTTAATCGGTATGCAATGTCCCTAAGATATCATTCACTTAACATACCTATACCCAGGCACACATCCATCCTATGTCAAATGAGATCCCATTTTGAAGGGAAATCTAAAATACACTGCAAATATAATATTTTTTATTATTATTATCATTAAGAAAAATGATGGCATTACAAATTGAAATTTTAATTCTTATTCTTCACTAACATATCACTGATCTTACCAGGACAAAATTATTACATAGGTATACTAAGCAGTCCATTGAAACAGCTAAAATGAATGGAAAAGCTATAGTGTAATCCATTGCTTTTCTTTTCTAAAATTATGAATTTTGGCATGTCCAAGTGGGTAAGCCAAAATGGGATAATTTTTTGAGAATGAAGTGGAATGAAATTCAGGAGCTTTTACTTTTCAGCCAAATGAGTTGGAAATTATCACACTACCCAAAGGCGTCTGTAGTCAATTAATTATTCAAAGTCTAACTCACTTGACATGCAAAGATGAAGTTTAAATTCTTCTGAATCTTAATAACAACACTACTTGTACCAAATGGATCCAGCCTGAAAGGAAGAGGAGAATGGCTACAGTGCAGAAGAATGTAAAGTATGAGATCTTGAAAAGCCAAGATAAACATGAAAATCGGTACAGTCATAGCAAACTGGAGAGAGTGCATTTAGGTTGGGAAAGGGCAATGTAAGAGGAAAGAAAAATAAAAATATTTAAAAAATTTTTTGTTCTGGTCTTGCTCCACCTGATATCAAAATATACTATAAACTTGCAGTAATTAGAATAGTGTAGTGCTGGTGCAAAAAAGACAAATATATCAATGGGGCAGTATGGAGAGTCCAGAAGAACATCCATGAATATTAAGTGAACTTATAAAGGTGGCATTTTAAAATGTAGGAATGAGCTTGATTTATGTAAATTATTTGAGGTAAAACTATGGTTATTTATTAAGAATAAATCAATTTAGATCCATACTTCAAAAGATACACAAAATAAATTCTAGTTAAATTGCCAAACAAAAATAAATCTAAGGATGTTCTAAAAGATAAAACATAGAAGTTTTCTATACTGTTTGGGGGTGAGAAAGATCCAAATCCTAGAAATCATAAGGAAAAAGATTGACAGATTTAATAATGTAAATATTTTAAGCTGCTGTATAGTGAAAGGTACTGTAAACAAGTGAAAAAGATAAATGACAGACTGAAAAATTTTATAATGCATTTAATCAGTAAAGGGATACTATCTCACCTGTAAAAACTCAAGGAAAAGAAAATAACCCATCAGAAAAAATGGGAACAACTTGATTAACAGTTTATAGAATAAATATCCATAACTACTAATTACACATAAAGTCACTTAATTTTACTACCAATCAGAGAATGCTGAGAGCAAATCTATTTTCTTATAAAGTTGGCAAAGAGCAAAACATTTAGTGCTTATGAGGGGATGGAGAAAGAGGCAAGGTCAGGCAATGTTTAAGTTTGTGGAAATGAGTGCAATCTTTTTGGAGGCATGTTGGCAGAGTATTTTAAAATCTTGAATGTACATGTCTTTGAAGAATTCTAATTTACCTATGGAAATACCCACAGGAATGGCCACATTCCTACATACAAGCTATTCATTGTATCATTGTTTGTAAGAGAAAAATATTTGAAGTGGCATAAATGTCCATCGACAAACTATAGTAACCAGAATAAATATATACATTTATTAAAAAGAAAAACCAATGTACTGACTTGGAAAGATGAACAAGCTACATTAAGTAGAATACATACATTTGCATAATCAGAGAAATATCAGGAAGAAGATATATCAAACTATTTCTATTGATTATCTCCAGGGATATGAGTGAGAGCAGCAGGCAGATGTTCTTTTGTTTTACACACTTCTGTTTTGTTTGATTTTGTTACTATTAGCATATGTTACTTTCATCATAAGAAAGACCAATCAAAGACTGGGTGTGGTGGCTCAGACCTTTAAACCCAGCAATTTGGGAGGCCTAGCCAGGAAGATCACTTGAAGGCCAGTTGTTGGAGACCAGTCTGAGCAACATAGCAAGACTCCCTCCATCTCTACAAAAATAAAAATAAATTAACCAGGCACAGTTGCATGTGCCTGTAATCCTAGCTACTAGGGAAGCTGAGGTGGGATAATTGCTTAAGCCCAGGAGTTTGAGGTTACAGTGAGCTATGATTGTACTACTACAGTCCAGCCTGGGCTCTTTCTGAGCAAGACCCTATCTCTCAGACAAAAAAAAAAAAAAAGAAAGAAAGAAAGAAAAAAAGAAAGAAAGAAATACTAACCAAAATTTAAAAAAAAATTTTTTTTGATATTAGGCACTACTTTAGTCATATACAGACACATTCTCACAGAAATTCAATTAACAATTTTTACTGAAGGGCTTAGGTTGCATCAGAGAACAAAACGGACATAAATCTTTGCCTTCATGAATTTACATTCTAGTGCAAAAACAAGAAGAAAAAAATAAACATAAGTAAAGTGAATTATAAATATGCAAGAAAGTAATAAGTGCTATAAAAAAAAATAGGACCCAGTGATTCATGTCTTCAATCCCAGCACTTTCGGAGGCCGAGTTGGGATACTTGTTTGTGGCCAGGAGTTCAATACTAGTCCAGATATAAAAAACGAGGCCTCGTCTCTACAAAAAATTAGCCAAGCAAGGTAGCCACAAGGTAGTACACTCCAGCCTGACAGGGTGACACTAGCTCTTGTAACCATGATTAACCACCAACATTAACCTTGTTCATTCCCTCAAAAGTATGGTATTGAAAGGGTCCATGTAATTTTAAACTTTCTTTTCCTGCAAAAGAATTTCCTTATTTTGGGGGGGAAATTTTATGAGCATTTATCTCCACTTTTAATTGTCTCCTCTGAGAAGTCGAAGTATTGGAACTTGGGCTATTTGCAAGAAGGCTCTTAGCTATTTTACACTTGAACCACTGGAAAGATAAAGTCTGTCATCAGCCACAGTATCTTCCCAGAACAGAGACATGAGGTTAACACCCATGGGCCTACCAGTTACCCTGACATGCAAGCTTGTCTGAATTCCATATAATGAATTTGAAGTGAGCTTTTAAGGTGACTGCTGCACAGGGCCTAGGTCATTTCTAGGTGAAAGTACCAAAGAGATGGAGACAGAGGCACTCACCCGTCCACAGTTACCAGATTGTGAATGTCAGTTCTTAAGCAAAAGGAAAGCGTCTGAAGACTCAGAGAAATTCATTCTGGTCAAATTTGTGGATTTTTTTTTCCATACATTTATTTTTAAAAATCATAATTCTGGGATTCTGAAGCCATCCTCACCATTTTTTAGGCTCTGGGGTGGAATGGGGGAGATGTATAAACACACGTATTTATTTGTCTGTTTTTAAAATTCAGTTTGTTTATTGTTATTTAAAAAACAAAACAGTAAACAGAAAACTGGGTGCTCATCCCAGCTCTTACCTCTAATTTCTGATATCTTAAGTAACTCTGAATCTCTGAATCTCAATTTCTCAGCAGTAATAACAAGTCAATATCCTACCTACACTGAAATCTTGATGTACAAATAAATGAGAAATCCTGGAAAAGCTCTGCAAAAACTACAATATGAATGTATAGTATTCTAATAATTAAATCTTCACCATAACACTCCACAAATACTCCCCAGTTAAATGGGCTCTTGAGGACTTGCAGGGGCAGCCAGTAACCAATCCACCTTATTTTTCTAGTTAAAAAAAAGTTTTAAAAGTTATTTTCATTTAATTATTTCATTTTTTCTTTTAATTTGAATTAGTCATAAGATCTTAAAAAAAAGTACAGTCATATACTGCATAATAACATTTTAGTCAACGATAGACCGTGTATACAGTAGTAGTCCCTTAAGATTACAATGGAGCTTAAAAAAGGATGAGTTCATGTCCTTTGTAGGGAAATGGATGAAGCTGGAAACCATCATTCTGAGCACACTATCGCAAGGACAGAAAACCAAACACCGCATGTTCTCACTCATAGGTGGGAATTGAACAATGAGAACACTTGGACACAGAGTGGGGAACATCACACACCAGGACCTGCCGTGGGGTAGGGGGAGGGGAGAGGGATAGCATTAGGAGAAATACCTAATGTAAATGACGAGTTAATGGGTGCAGCACGCTAACATGGCACATGTATACATATATAACAAAGCTGCACATTGTGCACATGTACCCTAGAACTTAAAGTATAATAAAAAAAAAAGATTATAATGGAGCCGAAAAATTCCTATCTCTTAGTGACCTCATAGCCATTATAACACTGTAGCACACTTATTGTGAGTGTAACTCACTAGAGGACGCTGGTGTAAACAAATCTACTGCCCTGACAGTCATATAAAAGTCTAGCACATACAATTTTGTGTAGTACATAATACTTGATCATAATAATAAACAACTATGTTACTAATTTATGTATTTACTATATTATCCATTTGTCATTATTTTAAAGTGTACTCCTTCTACTTGGAAAACAAAAAGAATGAACTGTAAAACAGCCTCAGGCTGGTCCTTCAGGAGATATTCCAGAAGAAGTCTTTCTTATCATAGGAGATGACAGCTCTATGTGTGTTAGTTAACTCTGAAGACCTTCCAGTGGGACAAGATGTGGAGGTAGAAGACAGTGTTATTAATGATCTTGACCCTGTGCAGGCCTAGGCTAATTGTGTGTTTTATTAAAAATAGAAAAAAGCTTATAAAATATAAAGCTTTTTATAGGATATAAAGAAAAAAATATTTTTGCACAGTTGAAATGTGTTTGGGTTTTAAGCTAAGTATTATAGGAGTCAAAAAGTTAAAAAAAATTTAAAACATTTGTAAAGAAAAATTGTTACAGTAAGCTCAGGTTAATTATTATTGAAGAAATAACATTTTTAATAAATTTAGTATAGCCTGATTGTACAGTGTTTATAAAGTCTACAGTAATGTAGAGTAAGGTCCTATGCCTTCATGTTCACTCAGCACTCACTCACTGGCTCACTCAGAGCAATTTCCAGTCCTGCAAGCTCCATTCATGGTAAGTGCCCTATACAGGTGTAACATTTTTTATATTACATTTTTATTTACATTTTGTATGTTTAGATACACAAATACTTACCATGGTGTTACAATTTTCTACAGTATTCAGTACAGTCACATGCTGTGCAGGTTTGTAGCCTAGGAGCAATAGTCTATACGCTATAGCCTAAGCGTGTAGTACGCTATACCATCTAGATTTGTGTAGGTACACTATAAGGTACACTATAATGTTTGTATGGCAAAACACCTAAGGAGGCATTTCTCAAAACATACCCACATTGTTAAGCGATGCTTGACTGTACATGGTACACAATTGTGTAATCTAATTACCTGAAGATTTTAAAAATTAACTTAAGTGCATGCAACAGAACTTTGAAAAATATAATGAAATTAGAGTCACTTTCTATTTTAAAATGAAAGATTTGATTCACATGGGGGTAACTTACTCATCTCAGTTTTCCCAGGACTTGCCTGGTCTTGAAGCTGAAGATCCTGCATTCCAGGAAGCCCATTAGCCCAGGAAAACCAGAATGGTTTATTAATACAGACATTATTAAAAAATTTCAAAGAGACATATAACTGAGTTAATAGCATTTTGGAGAGAAATAATAGTAATTTTTCTCAAAAGTTTAGAAAGAATCCAGTTTATTGAAAAACTTCTATGAATGACACAGATAATAGAACGAAAACCATGTTCTTTTCTTGGAATATTGCTTTGTGTCATAAGCAAGAACATTTTTGAAGACTGATAGGAACATGTCAAAAATTTACAGAAGCCAGGTTGAAGGGAGCTCACTGGCCAAATTTGGGACAATTTCAACACCACACATAATAATGATATTAATGGATTCTAACATATTTCACTTTTAAAAATCCATAGTTTATAGTGATGATAACAATTAAAAAAATAAGGGAATGGGGAAGTATTTGAGAATAAGAAGAAGAATGCCAACCAGTAAATTAGAAGAAATGATTTTAAATCACCAATGTATAACTACCACTGGTTCAGGCAAGGATAACTGCTGGATGCTAAAACAATTGGGTGCAAGTTTTCTGGGAAAGTCACACAAAAAAATCACCCCACATCTTACTGATTACAGAGGGAAAAGTACATTTACAATGTGGACAGACACACCTTAACCAAGTGAAAATACTTAGCACCACTAACGATGGCACAAACTGACATTTTATGCCTCCTAAGTACACATTATCTAGGTGAGGTCCTTGCCAAGATTGTTTAATTTGAATCTAATAATGAGGAAGTAGACAAATCTAGATTGTAAAAATTCTACTGAACAACTGGCATGAGCTCTTCAAAAATGTCAATGTCCTGAAAGACATTAAAAAAGAAAAGATGTGGTAGGTAGTCTCCAAGGATGGTTGCCAGTAACCCCTACCCTCTCCTCCCTATACATGCACTCTGTTCTTATCAAGAGATGAGTCCATGTCCCTCCTTGAACCTGCGCTGGCTTTTTGACCTGCTATGACCAATACAAGGCAATGGACCTTGTTTTCAGATAAGCCCTTAAGACAGTGGTCCCCAACCTTTTTGGCACAAGAGACTGGTTTCAAGGGAGACAATTTTTCCACGGGGCTGGGGCATGGTTTCAGGATGAAACTGTTCCACCTCAGATCATCAGGCATTAGATTCTCATAAGGAGCACAATGCCTAGATCCCTTGCATGCAGTTCACAATAGGGTTCATGCTCCTGTGAGAATCTAATGCCTCCAGCTGATCTGACAGGAGGTGGAGCTAAGGCGGTAATGCTTGCTCGCCTGCCGCTCACCCGCTGCTGTGTAGCCTGGTTCCTAACAGGCTAAGGAGTGATACCAGTCCACAGCCAAGGGACTTGGCTGGAGAGTGCTTGAACTTTCCAGTTGCCAGCTGCATGTAGTTAAATGAGTGACCCCAGCTGATACTACCTCAAGAAGAACTAACCCTGTCAGCCCACAGAAATGTGATAAATAAGTAAGTAAGTAAGTAAGTAAGTAAGTAAATAAATAAATAAATAGTTATAGTTTTAAGCCATCAAGTTTGGAGTTTATTTGTTACACATCCATAGCCAATGATGACAAAAACTGAACACAGCACATAGCTATAAAGAGCTTATTTGGGACAACTGGATACTTTTGAAAAGGACTTGTTATTAGATAATGTTGTTCTATCAATGTTAAATTACTTAGATGTAATAATGATATTGTGATTATGTAAGACAATATGCTTGTTCTTAGGACATGCATGCTAAGTACTTGGATATGCATGCATGCACACACACATACGCACACTTTATATATTGTATACAGACATGTGGCAAAAACAACAATTAATCCTAATAAAGGGTTATACAGTATTCACTGTACTATTCTTTCAACTTTTCTGTAGGTTTGAGATTCTTCAAAATAAAACATTTTGAAGGGAAATAAATGATTTAGAGATTTACGATACATTTTGTACTTTTAAATAGATGTTTTTATTTTAAAATTTAAATATGTTAACTTAATTATCTAAATGAATCTTGAAGACAGAATTTTTAATGACTCAGATATGCAACAATAATAGTTTGGAACAAATGGAGTACAGCTCAGCAGGATGCAGTCAAGACAGGGGGCAAGACTAGAGGTCAGGAGCGCTGGGCTGTAAATCAGCTGTGGGACTTTGGGCAAGTTACTCCCCTTCTCTGGGTATCAGTTTTCTCATCTATGAAATAAAAGCTAATTGATATCTATGGCTCTTTTTAGCTTTATGGATCTCCAAACTGGCACAGTGTCATTATTTAAGCATACATCCCCAAAGGGGAAAAAAACTACAAAAGAATTCCCCAAAATCAAGAACAAGCTATTTAAGAATAAAGAAGAGATAACAATCTTAGAACACAATTTTCCTAAACATGGGCTACCTTGGAAAAACAAAATACCAAACAGAGGCAATTGGTTGACACAACAATTTATGCTGATGGGAAATACCGCAATCAGCATGGCAATGCAGGGCATGACTCAGTGCAGGGGGGCTGAGAAACAGAATTAAACACACCCACAGAAACACCTCATTGAAATTCACCTCTCATATCCATTACTAACTAGATTCTTATGAGTGAACTTTACCTAGAAGCTTACTGACAAAATGTTCGTAAGTCAAAGTTTATTCAAAGGAATTCCATAACATTTTCCATAGTAAGCAAATAATGGCCCTAGATATGTCATATACCTGCCTTATATCAATGTAAGGTTTCATATGACAGCTTTACTTTAAAGGAAAATAAAGCATGAACTCTGGTATTTATAGGGTGCCAGATTTTATAGTAGCCACTCTCACGTGTTACTTTATTTAATCTTCACAACCTTGAGTGCTGGGTATTATTTACCTCATTTTTAATCATGAAGACACAGAAAATGAGGAAAGACTTGATAATCATCAAAACTAATTGTACCAGAGACTCTACATCCCTACTAAGGAAACATGGTAGAAATAAAAAAAGCTTTAACTGTGAGCAAAGAGAGGTTTGTTATATTTTATATATAAAAGAATTTTCACGGGATCACTAGGTGCTGGAATGTGTTCCTACAGAGGTTGCAGGATTCCTCTCTGAGGTCCTTACCAGCATATTGTCAGGAATAGGAGAGGCACAGTAAAGGCAAGGGACAATATGGGAGGCAGTGGTCAGGAGAGGAGGTTCACTGGAGTGAGTCAGGAGACCTGGATTCTCCTTGAGACTCTGTCACCTATTACCTGTGGGACCCAGAGAACGTCAGGTGACCTCACTGAACCTATTCTCATTCCTGAGAGGTGGAGTTAGGCCTTGTTCCCTTAAGCTCCCTTCCATTCTAAATGCTTTCAGTACCTCTTAGGATTGCTCCATATCTACCCATTTTTGAGCCATAGATAGTTTATTTTTTGCTTTCATAATTTTTAAGAATATGTAGGATTTACAAGCACAAATAGGCAACATAAAATAAACATTAACAATTATTTTTTAAAAAAAATTAAAATTCTAATCCCAAGGAGAGGAGATAGGGTTGACACTGTCCAGCTGGCAGTAAGCCTATGAGTGAAAAAGAGTGGTTTTGGAAGAACCACACTAAATTATTAAAATCAAGTCTGAGCCCCCACTCAGACATCCATTCCACCCATTTACCTCCTCATTTTCCAAAGACCATCCATTTCACGATGATAGTGAAGGGACAAGGGAAATATAATATCTTAAGGACAAAGAGAACTAAAGAGGAGACATCTGTATACATATTTGGGAGATGAAAGCAGAACAGAGGGGTTGCCAATGAGAAGTGAGCCAATTCACCTGGGAATCCCAGGAGGCTCAGGGACTGGAGGAGGATGAAGAGAAGTCAATTGAAAGCATGTGTATATACACAGCAGTTGGACCAGGTGCCTTCACATGCTCCACACAGCTTCAGCTATAGGGGGAAGGGGGCAGGGCCGTGGGGGGGGTGGGGCTCAACTGAGAAAGAAATTGACACAGGATCCAAGAAATAGGGGCTGTGGCATAGAGTTCGTTGTAAGAATGTTCCAGTAAGAAAGCTATATAGCAGATTTCAGGGTAACCATGCAGATTAGAGAAGGTAAAAGAAGGCCCACATGAAAGGTTTCCAGAAGAAAAGGGGGAAAATTTTATCTGATATATTTGAACAGTGTAGAAAAAAAACTGTAATAGTCATATATCAGATATGAAAGCACATATAGAAAAAAATAAGGATGGAGAAAAAGGAAACTTTACAAGTAAAAATAAATGGAGGATACATAAATGTTCAGGGCAGCATTGTTCATAATTGTCAAAGTGTAAACAACCCAAATGTCCATCAGCTGATGAATGAAAATCTATGTATATCCATAAAATGGAATATTATTTTGCAATTAAAAGGAATGAAGTACTGATATATGGTACTTGGATGAAGCTTGAAAACATTATACTAAGTGAAAGGAGCCAGACACAGAAAGCTACACATCATATGATTCCATTTTATATGAAATGTCCAGAATAGATAAATCTATAGGGATAAAATAGAAATTAGTGTATGCCTACAACCAGAATGGTTGGAAAAGGAGAGGGGGTAGTGACTGTTAATGAGTTCTAGCTTTCTTTTCAGAGCGTTAAAAATGTTCAAAAATTAGTTTAGGGTGATGGTTGCAAAACGCTATAAATATACTAAAAAACATTAAATTATACACTTCAACCACAGGAATTTTGTGTTATATCTCAATAAACCCATTACAAACAGACTAATAAATAAATGAAGGGGGAAATGAGGTCAATTTTGACTTCAAGGAAAATAAAATGGTGTTCAAGGGAGTAAAAATAATTATGCCACATTATATTAATGGATTTGCCTAGTTATCAAAATGTACATTATTGATTTAACAAAAAAAATTAGATATACTAGGAGGATGGAAGGTTGAGATAGGAAAGTTAAGAAAGGCATAAAATAATTTCTCATCTTCCATAACAAGAAATTAATAATAGATTGTGTCTAAAATGGACGGATCAAGAAATACTAGACAATATTACAATTTCCCCTACATATCTGCAGATTCAACCAACTGCAGGTGGAAAATGTAGATAGGCCTACAATGGTTGTGTCTATACTGAACATATGTAGACTTTTTTAAATCATTATTCCCCATACAATGCATTATAACCATTATTTATATTGCATAAGATACTATCTGTAATCTAGAGGTGATTTAAAGTACTATATAAAGGGGGATGTACATAGGTTATATGCAAATGCTACACCATTTTATACAAGGGACTTGAGCATCCACAGATTTTTGTATCCATATTGAGTTTGGGCCATATCGAATTGAGGCCCTGAAACCAATTCCCCATGGATGCTGAGGCAGGATTTTACTTAGAAATTAGAGGTGATAATGCTGAAGAAGCTCCAAGAATAGCAAGTGGTCGCCTGTGAAAAGCAGGAATTAGGGGAGAGTGGGGTTGGGTAGAGGTTGTAACCGTTAGTGCAAGCTTTTAAGTGCTAGCTGACCTTTTAGCTATGTACATTTATTACTTTAATAAAAATAAAAATTAAATTTAAGAAAAGTTTGGGTTTTCTACTGCCAGCTCAGCCTTTAGAGAGTTACCTTATTTGAGCAAAACATCATTCCACATTGGTCTGGAACTCTAAGCATGCAGGTATCACAATGCTGATTCCAAAACTCACTCATCTCAATTGGACAAATTCTGAAACAGGATTACTTGCTAAATCTGCCTTGAGTGGGGAATTGAAGAGGATATAATCTCTTTTGGGTTTTGAATAGAAATGTTACTATATACAGGGTATAAAATCTTACAGGTTCCACCAGTAAAGAGATTAAATGGGAAGAAACCATTTCACCATTTCACCCTTTTCATCAGGCAGCCTCAGGATAATGCTGGTAGAGCATACTTGGTCCTGCTGTTTTTTAAAATGAAAAAGTTGAGGCCAAGGAGACCTGAATGGCTTACCAAAGGTGACAAAGTAAAGCAGAGGTGGAACTCAATTGAACAACTCTAAAGACTTAAAATACTGAGCCTGAACATAGGTATTCTCCCTTAGACCCTAGACTTGGGCACCATAAGATGTATACTACATACTACCAGGCTGGAAATTGGCTGATGCTAAGCATATTTCACTCACTGCCTGCATATCTTAAAATACGTAGTAAAATATTTCCTGGATCCTCTCTTTTAATACCTGAAGTAACATATCTATATAAAATTGAGCCCATCCTAAATCTTTTTGTGTCTTCTTCATAACTCCCCTTAATTATTTTCAACTAGCACCAACTTATGTAAAACCAGATTTGTGTAAATTAGACGTATGTGTGTTGAACTCAGAACCCCCTAAAAAGTTATTAATTAATCGTTTTTAAGAAATGCTTCAGTTTGGAAAAACTTACATTAAATCAATTCCCTTGGTTCCAAGATCCTACCTAACATGTTACTATACCAATATTTCACAAAGAGTTGTACAAATGATTATTCATCATACTCTTATTATTGCAATATAAATTGTCATTGTCCACAGAATAATATTTATTCTGGGTTACCGATGAAATATACATAGATATTGATATGGATATATCAGCTACGTAGATATGAATATGGTTACAGGTATAGATAAAGCTACAGATATAGATATTACATCTCTCCCCATATGATCCCCATTTAACAGAAGAATCAAAACAGAAAGTGGTGATGGATGGGCACACATTGACTCTAACTGAGGCACTTTTAATTAGTTTCCTCCGTCCTCGGCACACAGCTAAGATTTGCATGATTTTATTTAGGGTAGCCTTGAGAGTGATGCAGAAAAATGCTCTACAGACCAAGTGTTTTGAAATGTCCTTTATCAGCAACACATGTACATTTACACTCTTAACAGCAACAACTCAATTTTAGTTCATAACTTTGTGAGCATCTGCTGTGATAACTACCTTTTTTATGTTGACGGGTGGCTGATTAAGGAGGAGGAATGTATTTTTAAGTTTGCTATCATGAAAAAAATATATACCACCCTCTCCAATGGTTTGGCACCTCTTGATTCCTCGTGGTCCTTTTCCTTCTGAGCAGTTCAATTAGCTGGAAATCTCACTCTGATGGACTGAAGCAGCTTGAGTGAACGCCCGAGCGCTCAGCCAATTAGGCTCATTTGAAGTTGCAGAATTGCCTTCTTTGGTGTTAAAACCCCATGTCAAACACCGGGTCTAAGATCATTTGTGCTCCAAAATGAGATTGACAGAGCAGCTGCAACAGGGGGCATGCCTGCTGGACGACTTAATTGTGGAGCCTGAAGGGCCATCATGAACCGGCGTGCGGAGACCGCCTCGCCACTGCTGCATTACAAATGCTCTTTATTAACAGCGATCTGTAATCAATGGGCTCAGGCTTTTTGCCAGAGCCCCCAAATCAGACAGGCGGGCCCCTGCGTCAGGGTGGGCGGAGCCACGGGGCCCAGCTATCGAGCTGGGAAGAGAAAGCTGTGTTGTCCCTGCCTGACTCTTGGGTGCGATGGTAAATCAGAAAGGGACCCTAGTAATCATTCCAGGGGCGCCCTCCTCTCACTACTGGTTGAATATTCATTAGCCCGGGTGAGCGCAGCTCACTGTACATACAATTACATCTTATTGATGTGAATGAAATAAATTGCTTTTCTTTCAACAAAGGCAATTGTTCTAAATCAGTTCAGCATTATATGTAAGAATAAATTTTGATCAGAAATGTAAAGGCTTAGAGATGTATCTCCATATGTTGATACATAACTAAAGACCCAAAAATCTGTGGGTGTTAATTTCAGAAATTAGGTTAATTTAGTTAGGTTAATTTCAGAAATCTAAAATACATTTATTTGGAAACAATCTGTAAAATCCAATGCGAATTTCCTTTCCTTTAAAAGAAATCATTTCATAATATTCTTTCTGACAGTGTGTAATGGTAAAGCACTGAACTGGGAGTCAGAGACCTATAAACTAGACCAGGCTCCACTGCCAGCAAGCTGTGTAACCTTGGGTAAATCATTTAACCTCTCTGGCCTGCCTAGTCTTATCTTGTAATATGTGAGGGACAAACGAGTTGTAACAGTCCGTGGAGTTCATTTTCTATCCATCTTCTCTTAAATGTGTTTAGGGTTATTTCTTTCAACTCCGTAGTGCAAGAAAGCCATTTATCCTACTATTAAGAGCAGAAGAAAGAAAGAGCACAGGTAGGGTGGCCAAGCCACCTTGGCTCAGCCCCCTTGCCCTATTCTCAAAGAAATATCATTTATAGATATTGTTTCAGCAAAGCCCTGTGTTAAGTGCTATGAAAGATAGGGCAGGACCAGAATCACCTAGGCCCTGCTTGCCAAGAGCTCAGTCTTCCACAGGGAAACAAACCAATAGATAAATAACTCACCAGTCCTTTTCCAGCATAGCTTTTCAGTTCACTAATAGGTCCAACAGCATGTTATCCAGTATCAATGCAAATGCACTGCACACGACATAGCTGCCAGGAGCCCCATACACACAGACCACCAGGTAAATGGAAAACCTCTGGAGTTGTACAGCATGACAGCCCTGATCCTATTAGAGCAAATCAAAGAGCATCACACTGCACTAAGTTCTAAAAAAGAAAACATAAGCTTCCTGCTCTATGATTGTAATACTCTAGGAATAAGCTCGCAGAAAGTATATAAATAAAAATGAAAAATGCATTATGTAAATAAAATATAAACTATACAAGAAATAACTGAAGACAACAATGAAGAAATTCACAAGCAATGTGCAATTATTATTAAAACTATCCCACAGTTGGAATTAAATAAAATTATACATGCAAAATTCTTAAATTGTGCTTAACTAGCAGGCTTTTAACAAATGTTATATTTCTTTCTATCCATTTTTGCAATATTTTGCACAATGAAAATATTTAATAGAAGGGAGAGATTATTTTAGTTTAGGGTACCCAAGCAAGGATTTATAGAGGAAGCAAGATTTGAACTGAATCTTGAAGGTTAGGTTAAATTTGAATAAGCAAAATATTAAATCATGATTTTAATTCAGATTCCCAGAAAGTGTGCCTGGAATGGTGAGTCATCAAGGTGGAATGCCTTGGGGACACTCAAAGGTCTGGCCATTTCTCACCACAGGATTCTAGAGCTGTGTCACCATTTACCCAGCCTCCAGCAGCCTCTGCTGGAACAGCTTATTGCCCCACCTCCCCCATTTTCTCTTTAGCCAATTCTGTGAGGTAACTCCAGTCCTTCAAGTAAGATAGGCTCTGCCAAGCTGATTCTATATTCCCAAAGCCACCTACAAGCTTTCCTCAAATTGGCCTGGCTGCTAACCCATGTTCTCACGAAGTAGATAAAAGAGTTTTGAGTTGGAGATAAGAACATCCCACCTCTTATCAAATTCCTCAGTTCAACTAGAACAAAACTGAACCACTGTAGTCCAATGGGCCACACAGTCATCCCAGTGTGAAGGCTTGAGAGAGGAATAATAAAGATAATAATAATGGTAATAATGTCCCAAGTGCTTTACATTTGAATAAAATATGAAAGTTTTAGGAACTCATTTAATCCTCTTTAAGGTCAATTCTTATCCCCATTTCACAGTTAAAGAAACTGAGGCACAGAGAGTAATCTGCCCAAGGTCATTGAGCTGCCTTCAGCCATAGAGCTGGTAAGTAGGAAAGTAAAGATCCGAACCCAGGCAGTCTGGCTCTAGTCTTAACACTTACTCCTCTTACTCTTCATGGTTGGGATCCCCAGCTCCAAATGACAGGTAGCCTATGACTTCTCCAGTTGTGGTGATTTTCATAACTAGTTAATTTTTATATTCATTACCATTTCAGGCTAGCTTCTTACTAAAACGTGACCACTAGAAACCTTACCTTTCTTCCTCCTGCCAATCTCAGCACATTCACATTGATCTCACCATATCATTCACTCTTTCACCATCCTCACCAGCAATGGCACCAAAATCCACCCAAGCCAGAATTCAAAAGTTATTCAAGATTGTTTTCCTCCCATCCACTCTACAGTCCAGTGCCAGAATGAAAATTCAAGTCTGAGCATGTTATTCCTCTGTTCAAAATTCAATGCTGTCTCTTACCTACAGAATTAAATCTAACCTTCTTGCAAAGCACACAAGATTTTGCATGGTTTGATCCCAGCTTCAAGCACAGTTTCACCTCAAATCAAACTCTGTGCTCTGGCCACAATGACTTTCCTGTAGTTCCTAGCATGTCATCTTTGTTGACAGCTCTGGCCTTTGGCTTCCCTGTCTAGTCTGCCACACCCCCACCTGCCCACTGACCCACTGACTCCAGGGTCCTTCAGGTTGTTACTGACAATTAGCCTCTCCTTAGCCTCTCTGCATGCACCAAAGTCCTTACTCCAGTAGGCAGATTAGCTGTCCTGCTACCTCTTGTGTTTGCCCTGGTTGTAGAAGCTAGAAAATTATATTTATCTTTTTCCACTAACACAATGTGTAATGTATTTTCACGTCCAACATCTAACCCAGTAGCTTTTAAGTGCTCTTACTTGACACTCAAAAGCATTCACTGAATAAATGAATTGTTACTTCTAGAACTTTAAATTGTGATAAATACCTTCATTCTGAATGTGTTTTGAGAACATAAATAGTATAGGTGACAGTGCTGTCAACAGTGAAAATACTGTGATAAAGTAAAATATTATTGCTGCATCCCTCCACTGATTATATTATAGTCTTTCCATAAAGTATTTGAAAAGAGTCTTGTTGTTCTATTCCTACATTCAGGATTCAAAAATTTGAATCCAAGAGAAAACCAGTTGTGTGGAATTTTCTTTTACTCTACATTTTCTGCAAGAAATTTATATTTAGCATAGATTTTTAAATAGGCAATGTAACCTAGAATATTTTTCTCTTAAATAATTTTCCTTCAAAAACAAGACTTCAACTCTTCAATCATTTAGAAGTCACAAATATTAATATTAAATATGTTTTTGTCATCTTGTAAGGCATCTTCATTAAGTGCTAAAATATGTGGGTCTGCTAAAGAATGAAGGTAACCATACTTCTTTGGAAATAAATACTTTTAGCCTGTAATCAGGAATATTAGCAAGTTTGTTTTGTAACATACATGCAACAATTTTGAAATGTTACATTCTGATTTCATTCACTGGTGTTAACAGCTGTGTCCCCTGTAATCTTGCACAAGCAGGAGAAATCTATGATTAGATATATATCTGTCATCTTTCTAGAACTTTCTGGAACTTTGTCCTCTCCAAGGACATGTCTTAGCTGGTCACATAGCTATTGTTCAAGTCCTAATATCTATCATTTAAAATAGTTGAATGATTGCTGTCCTTAAATAATGTCACAGTAATAAAAGAATTAGCATTGACACTTGACACTGTTCATGCTAATATTTTACGCTCTGGATTTTTCCACAGTATGAAATCAAGTTGCACATCCTGAGAGAAATGCATATGCCATATTGCCATGCACAGTAGATCAAGCTAATATAGTAAAAACCCTAAATGGAAACCTTCTAAGGAATTTTAAATACACAAGCTACATCTGCAAGATATTTAACTATTGTGCTTCCAGTAAAAATTAATGAGATTTAAATTCAGCTTGAAAGATAGAGCAATCAAAGTTTAAAGTGCATGCTAAATTTGTATCCTGAGTTGGTCCCTCAGGACTCTACACAGCCTGCTTTGAACAAAATATTTCAAGTTCAGAACAGTGGTGAGTGGGGATACAGATTCTATCTTTACTCATCTATTTGTCCATGAGTTCAACACAATTCAATATGCCATTTAATCAATGTATTAAATATCTTGGCTTATCTGTAAGGCATACATAAATGGGGAAATTAGAACACAAAGCTACAGTATGCTAGTCTATTCTCACATGGATGTTCCACACATGGAATCCGCCTGATATAAGAAAGCACTGGCAAGATAAATGCAATTGGCAAACTAGTGATTGCTTCAGTCCAATACATGACCACTTAGGTCAAGAAACTCTGCCCCTGTGGTATTATTCCATATGGCCACACACAAAAAAAACCACTTCACTATATATCCTCAGAACCCTAGAAATTAAAAGAACAATTTCTAAATGTACATACTAAATTATATTTATATCTTTTTTTAGAAATGAGAGTCAAAACTTAATTATTCCCCTTGCTACACAGCATATTCTTTATTCTTGGAGACAGCAACTCAAAACTGCTGTCATCCCTTTTGAAGAATTCTTGTAATTGCAACCAAACATTAAAGAACACAGAGGCTCACCAGCAAAGCCACAGAAATATTCAGCGGCACCATTATTTCTTTGGCAGCTTGTGTTTAATAATTTAATTCAATTCCAGTAGCGCAGCACATAACAACACCCTTTTTTTGAACCAGTAAGCTGTGTGTCTGTGACAGGGAAGTCATAATGGAGTATGAGTTTGCATGCTGAGGTGTCATTTTCATAGAACAGCATTTTCACTAGGGGCACACGATGAAAAATCAGAGTCTTCAGATCTGATATTGAACAGCCATCAGCTATTAATACATTATAATGCTATTTTTCTATCTAGGCAATTTATGATTTGTCAGAAAAACAGAGAAGTAGTTTGTACTTTCTTAAAGATTGTTAAACAGGAGCACAAGAATTTAAAAGCTACTAAAATGCCAAATAAATACCATTCTCAGGCAAAGGACTCTGAAATAATCTCGGGCACAAGTCTTTTCAGTTATTGAGGTTTTCAAGATAAGACAATGAAGCTATAGGTAGAGAAAATAAAATATGTTTTTAAAGTTATGTTTTGGTCCATTTATATTTCATATGAAAATACCTATATGCAAAGTCAAAGGTACCATGATTTGTTTATTTATTAATTTATTAAATCCAGGCCCTATATATTTTAATAACCTTATAGTAAACCACGTAATAATCACTTAACAACAAAAAATGCTTTTCAAATCTCCTCTGTATGTGACAGGCAAAGCAGAACATTAAGTGGTTGTGATTTTTTTTGTTGAAACTGTTTTTAATTCTAGCATCTGAATGAAACATACCAACCAGAAATACCTGCGCCCTGCACCCAGCCACATCTACCCCTATACCTGGCTATTTCCACAGATTTACTCACTGTTTTCTCCATTGTCAACATTTCCTGGCAGTAGACGACTGGTCTTTGCTGGCCCAAACTCTCAACCTTGCCAAGACAACAATGGCAGATGTTTCCATATTGGAGAGGCAGCTGGGGAAGGGGATGGAAGGTAGGAGAAAAAATGACTGTTCCTCCAGATGATTTGAATATATGCCATGACATTTGCTGCTGAATGATAGTATCTTTTAAAACAACTAATGGCCACTCATCTTTGTTTTGGTTTGGTTTAGTGATTTACAAATGCTTCACATCCAAATATACCACCTCTGATTTGCCAGTATGATATAATGGGTTCCCAGGTCTTTTAAAAATGCTAAGCCTGTATCTGGAAGAACTACCCATTTGTTGAGATGGTAATTGTTTTAACTTTGATGTCCTTCACTCTGCACATCTGTTTCAGCTCTTCTACCAGACACACTCACAAATTTATCATCTCTGCATGTGTTCCTACGTTAGGACTGCCTCAGTGGCAGAGTACAACAGTAAATTCCACGGATGTATTAAGTTTGTTAAGCAGGAAAGTAACTGGCTTTGTGGCCAGGATTTCTTATGACTCTGTCTCAAGACATGCTATAAAGGTTATCTGAGAAAATATTCTTGGATTCATCCATAAAGGACAGTATATATTACCTGGCCAATTCACAGTTACAGAATGATGAGGTACCAATATAGCAGTATTGTTACCTGATCTTACAACCTACAACAGCAGAAGTGGTTCTTTCTTAGTTACACAGCTTATTTTGTTGTCATCAAGCAAATTTTTCATTTCTTTCTGCCTAGAAGTCTAGGCCTTTTCTGCTATACCAAATTGCTTCCCTAAAACATTGGGTTCAAACCCTGGCCGTATTATTACTTATGTAGCCTTAGACAGCATACAGTTTTCTTATTTGTAAAATGGGCATAAAATAATACGAATCCCTCAAAGCTTTGTTGAGAATCCAGGGAACACATAACATAATAGTGTCTGATGTGCTTTATAAAACATGTTGATATGCATGACTCAGAGCTTATTTGGCTTTTATTGTATGTAGTGATATTTGAAGAGTAATAATTTAATCCACAGTAGAGATGAGTTCAGGCAATAGTAAGCTATATTTTAAAATGCTTTAGTTGTTCTTTAGAAAAGAGGATGACTTTTACAATATCTTATATAATCAAACTAGCTCTTAAATCTCAGACAGCGGGCGTTGCCCATGTAGTGGGACAGAGGCCTTTGCCTACTTTAGGCAGGAATAATGCTGGTACTAACATATTATATATTGTCTATATCAACTCCTTCTAAATACTTTTAGATGAAGTGTCTAAGAAATAAATTATGTCCATGTTGAGCTCTTAAACTTTTAGATATTTAAGGTTCCCTTTATTTCTGTTCATTTCTTACAACTATCCATGTAGGAGTAGCTCCCTCATATACCTCTCAAGCCTGAATCCCACTCTAGAAATTCAGAGTCCCATTTCTGATTCTATAGGACAATGTCCCCATAGGTCCCAGTGATTCCCCAAGTCAACATTTCCCCCCCACCAGTCCTTCCCCCAAAGACTTTTCATTAAAAAAATAATTGGATGTCTATGACATGAAACTTATATGGTATACAAGTTTGCATGCTGAGGGTCAGTCTAATAAAACAGCATTCTCACTAGGGGCATACAATGAAAAAGCAGAATCTTTGTTGTTAAAAATAATGAAAATTATTAGAAGAGTATAAGATTAAAAATTGTTCCTCCCTAATCCCACTATCCAGAGTTCATCATGTTTATCATGTTTTTCTTTTTGGATGCTTCTTATATTTTTAAGGTATTTTAAATACATATATGCATATAGAAATATTTTCTAATTTTTAAAAATTGAATGTTTTTCTATAGTTTGTATGCTTTCACTCACTATATTGTAGATATCTCTTCATGTTGGTGAATGTAGATACAGCTGTATTATTTGTATAATAGCTGAATCATAGTGTACCCAGTCTGCTACTGACAGGCATGTCAGTTGTTTTAGTGTTTTGCTGACAATGCTGAATGCTGCATGCCGTATAGACATCTCAGAACACTTACAGGGAATCATTCTGTGTGATAAATTCCTAAAACTACAATTACAGATGGAAGGATATGTGTATTTTTATCTTTACAAATACTGTCAAATTGCCTTGTAAAGAGTTTGTGCCGATTTATATTCCTTGAAACAATGTATGACCCCTTGTTTGCCCAAATACTAGCCAATACTCAGTATCATCAAGCTTTTAAACTTTTGTTTATTTGATAGAAAAAAATTAAAAGTACATTATTATTATTTTAATTTGAATGATTGCTATTGAGATTAAATACTTTTTCAATTGTTTGTAGCTTACTTATTCTTATTCAGTGACTTGCCACTTCATCTCCTTTCCCATGATCTGGGTGGCTTAATTATTTCTTCTGTATTGCTAGTAACTCTGGATTTATTATTTTTGTTAATACTCTAATTACTTGGCTAACACTTTTGTTAATTTATTATTTTTGTTAATCTGAGATACAGATTAGATAAATAGAAGCATAGATAAATTTATAGGTAGATAGATGATAGATTTATCATCTGTCATCAAATAGAGAAAGAAAAAGAAAGAGAAAGAAAGAGAGAAGGAAGAGAGGAAGAAAGAAAAGAGAGAGAGAAAAAAAGAGAGAGACAGAAAGAAATATTTTCTCACAGTTGTTTTTTAAATGTGTATGTATTGCTGCCTTTCCCATACAGAAGTTTTTAATTTTTAAGTAATAAAAACTGCCAGGTTTTTTTTATGGTTTCTAAATCTCATTTCTTACTGAGAAAAATCCTCCCCATACTAAGCTTATAAAAAATTCTACTCTGATTTTTCTAATAGTATTAGAGAAGTATTTTTTAGCTTTTTGATCTTTATTTGTTTTGCTAAAAGTTTTACTAAGTGCCTGAATACATAACCTGATTAACAAAGCACAATGTGAAATTTGCTTTTTTTGTAAATAAAATATGATTTTTGCAAATAATCTCACTAATTCCATATCACATGCAGATAGTTGTATTACATGAGATAAGGCAAATGAAAGTGCTTTATAAATAGCAAAACACAGAGGCTTTTTCTGCTAGTAACAATGTTAGTAAAATGTGCCAAATGAGACACTGTGGACTCCCAAAACAAGGAGGGAGTGAGGCGGGGAGGGTTGAAAAATTACCTGCTGGGTACATGCCTGCTATTTGAGCAATGGGTATGCTAGAAACCCAATTCGCACCCGTATGCAATATACCTGTATAAGAAACATGCACATGTAGCCTCTAAATCCAAAATAAAATAAAATTTATTTTAAAATGTGCTAAACACATGTATTGATATTTGGAAGTTCTTCTGTTAAAAAAGATTTCAAGAGTGGTTCAGGATATCTTTATAATCTGAGCTATACTGCTACCACAGAGAGACACTTTCAGCATATAATATTTAATCCTATCATATATAAATATTAATCTTCCACGTTCTTGTAATTATACCTCAGTATACACCATGCTGCGACTTACACGTTAGCAATTTATATTACCAAAATTTAACCACACTTTAGGTAACAGTAGCAGAAAACCAATTCTGATTTATTATTTAAATCAAAGTTAGAGAGTTTTATTAAGAAGCCCTTTGGTGTCAACTTAATGGAAACCTCTTCTGCAAAGACTGATTTTTACACCCATTTTACTTTGTTTTTCCCATAATATTGTAACCTGAAATGCTTAAAACAGGACTGGAGATTAAAAATCTATGGGAGGTTAAAAATCTATGGTATTTCTTGTTCTTTTTATTGAACAAACATGTACATGTATCTCCCATATGTAAAGCTTTGTGATAGTGGCTGGAGGGATACAGAGATATAACCCAATTATTCTCTCCAAAGGCAAGTGGGGAAAATACATATGTACAAATTCCTCAAGGAAGAGGTGATACGTTATGTGCAGGGTTATTTGAAAAGTAGCCAGCTCAGGTTTCAAATGGTAATTGTGTGAAGATCTCTAAATCTCCTATCAGTGTCAAGGCCCAAACAGGCAGCTTCCCAGTGAACTATGAACCACAGCTGCAGTTTGACATGCAGTGCTTTTTAAAAATTTGATTTAGTTGTCAAACATCTAAAATTCAGAGTGTTTACATTAAAATAAATTAAAATTTTAATTTTAATCCAGATAAAGTGGGTAGATCTGGCAACATCAGGCTCCCATTTTGGCTTGGTAACGAATTGGCTGGTGCTGGATGTTGACTTTCCCTGTTAAACTGGGCATGTACCCTCCAGTTTACCATAGTCTGCATCACTCCTTATTGTATTACCTGCTCCTCACATTTGCCAATTAGAATAGTTCAGGAGAGTGGAACACAGGAAGGATTTTGCCTGAGATTCTTATAAGCTGTGATCCCAGTTCCTGTGAAGAGGAAAGAGATAAACTGTGATACAGTCACGCCAAGGCCTCAGTCTATTTCATGGAAGCTCTGATGCTGGGATGACCTTTTAATATTTTACTGACCTGAAACAAAGGCACTTGGTCTTTAGGACCCCTCCCCACCAATCACTGAATGTGGGCTACCTGCAGGTAGGACCTCGGTCAAGAGATTTTTCTGAAGGTAATTCCCTGAGAGTAACTCAGCTGAGATCTGGCAGCTACCAGCACTCGGCCAGTTGGGGGAACATGTGTCTAGCCTGGAAGGGGGATCTGCAGGACACACCACAGTATCCACTATAGTAATATTTTAGAGAGGCCTTCCTTGGCCACTCTAACTAAATTTTAGCACTCTCCCCACCGTGATACTTTACATTTTTCTTCTCTCTTTTATTTTTTTATTCTTAACTCTTATCACTTCTAACATGCTATGTACTTTTCTTATTTATTTATGGCATCTACTAGGACATCAGCTCCTTGAAGGAACAAATTTCTGCCTGTTTTATACTCTCATATATGCCCAATGACTGCAGCATGGACTGCCTTGCACAGAGCAGAATGAATGAATGAGCCCTCTGATCCTGGAGCCCACGAAGCTTAGGTTTGGAGGGTTACAGTCTTCAGAGAGCTTTTAAAGAACTGAGTGTGATGCCCACCTGAGAAGGAGCTCTCAGGTGGGTCATGCCTGGGGAGTCCAGCCATCAAGACCTCTTTCTCCATGTCAAAGTCAGGGACACTGGAGAAAATTGCTCTGAAGAAAAGCTGTATTCGTTAAGGATATACCACCAGTCCTTTCAATTTAAAGACAGATTGTATTCTGATGACCTAATAACCCGGAATGAAGAAGCTGATGAACTACATAGACAATTAGGAGTGATCATAAGTGGCTTCATGCTTTCAAATTGCTGAATGAGTGTTTAGTAATTTACTCCCCCCTAACAAAGAAGCAGCATTTACAATGAAGGCATATGAGGCCTGAATAATACATTTTTAGTTACCATATCCTAGATAGACAGGGAGAAATATCTTCATGGAAATCGGATCAGATCTTTCAATAATGCAGAGGCAGAGGCAAGAAATATGAGGAGTTGGAGGGCACTGGCAGGTGTCTTCAACAGCTGTACAGCTAAAATCTGTAAGTTACATGTCATTTGCAAGTGTAAGATACTATTACTTCTTGGACCAGTTCTTAATGGGGCCTCAACCTTACTTTCCAGATATGTGACAGTCTGGGTAGAAGCACACATATGTTCATATTTTTGTCCTTGGTGCACTACTCAAAATTTTAAATATTTTCTTTTCTTTTCTTGTCTTTTCTCCTTTTCCCCTCTCCCCTCCCAAGACCCATGCTGTTCACATGTGAATATCCTGATTGGCATGAAAGAATGGAAACCACTTGAGGAATTTTCTTTCTCCTTTCTCGGATAAATAAACAACTTTTCTCAGTTGTTACATGTCAAATTTTTTTATTTGTCAAAACATCTTAGAATTCACATCTGTATCCAAAGTTGAAAGTTACAAGCATTCATAATAAAACCACCTGTTTAACTGAAATATTTTCTTCATTAAACAAAATTGACTTATTTTATCTTAGCAATTCCAATACATGCAGGACTTAATATCATATTTTATAATTTTCTTAGTCACCTCTAATATTCCTAGACATTTCACATTTTAAATGAAGAATTTAGGAATATAATGAGTGGCAAATAGTTTTCAAGTCCTCTTACCAACTTCACAAATACAAGAAAACATTGATTTGATGTCCTTATGTTCGAATACCATCATTGTTTATTTTGAGACTATAACCAAACAAACTATATGGTTTAATTTTAATTTGGTGACTTCCCTTTCTCCATATATTCTCCTCCCTCTCTTTCATCTAAAAAGTAGTTTGAATTTTTTGAAGTATAGAAAGCAAAGAGAAGATTAGAGACACCAATTACTAACACATGACCAACTACTCTTAGCTCAATGGAGAAGTTTGAATCTTTCAAAAGAATGGTTAGGGTAGCTAAGGGGAGTAGATGAGGCCCCTGAAAAAGTTAAGATGAGAGTAAGGTTTTTATGAATGATGAGTCAGGCTGAACAGAACCAAGCAACTTGGTAAGTGAGTAAGTTAATTTACTAATACCGGTCTTTATTATGATAACTCTGGTAACTTTCCATACTGTTCTACTATTAAGTCCATAATTACTTAGTACAGTTTATTTCTTGAAGTTGTATTATTTGGTAGGTATAATGACCAAATGAGTTCTACTGGTCTATAGTAGAGTTTCCCCAAATGTCCAGTCCTGAGAGATGCAACAACAATGAAATGATTTCAAAGGTCAGATAGGTTTAAGAAATGCTTCAAACCAAACTGACCTCCCAGCTAATCCTGCATCCCATAGCACAGAAGTGATCTGCAATTCTCTATAGCTAATTTTAGGGGAGGTGAGTCAATATTTTGTTTGAATACTATGGAAAGAAAAACACAAGGAAAAAACAAGGAAGTAAATTTACCTAAAACCTTACAATTTTTAAAAGTATCAGAGTAAATACTTGAAGCTCTCTTCCCTATTCTTTTGATGTCATGCACACACACATCAGATGTGACTACTTTATCCTGGCTAGCAATCCACTGTTATTTTAATTCTTTGTTGGCTTAAACTAAAAAACCTATCCTTGTTAAATAGCTTACCATCTCTGCAGAGCAGCTCTTTTCTTCAGAACCCCATAAACAGACAAAACACCCAGGACATTCACATTTCCTGATGAGACCATTAGCATACATTCTATTTCCAAACTATGAAAATCAGCTACATTTTGATGACAAGTAGTGTAGTAAAACCAAGGAACCTTCTTTGTCAGTGAAGTGTGTCATATTTGAGCACATGGGATGTGACAATGTGTGCTTTGGGTCATTGGAGTCACAGTTGTCTTCCATTGAGGTGCCCTCTGAGTCTCCTCCAGCTTCTCATCCTCATGTCTCAGGTAGTTAGCCCTAGGAAGTGGACCCCAGAAAGGGAGAGGAGAGTGGGAAGTTGATTTCTAGATTACTTTCAATGTTCATTAAGTACCTCTTCTTCCTGAGAACGATTCTCTTCCAGTAAAACTCCAGACTTACAGCCGTTCAAAAGACTTTGAACCTTTTTTTTAATTAATTAATTAATTTATTACTATTATACTTCAAGTTTTAGGGTACTTGTGCACAATGTGCAGGTTAGTTACATATGTATACATGTGCCATGCTGGTGCACTGCACCCACTAACTCGTCATCTAGCATTAGGAATATCTCCCAATGCTATCCCTCCCCACTTCCCTGCAACCCACAACAGTCCCCAGAGTGTGATGTTCCCCTTCCTGTGTCCATGTGTTCTCATTGTTCAATTCCCATCTATGAGTGAGAATATGCGGTTTTGGTTTTTTGTTCTTGCGATAGTTTACTGAGAATGATGATTTCCAATTTCATCCATGTCCCTACAAAGGACATGAACTGATCATTTTTTATGGCTGCATAGTATTCCATGGTGTATATGTGCCACATTTTCTTAATCCAGTCTATCATTGTTGGACATTTGGGTTGGTTCCAAGTCTTTGCTATTGTGAATAATGCCGCAATAAACATACGTGTGCATGTGTCTTTATAACAGCATGATTTATACTCCTTTGGGTATATACCCAGTAATGGGATGGCTGGGTCAAATGGTATTTCTAGTTCTAGATCCCTGAGGAATCGCCACACTGACTTTGAACCTTTAAAACAGAACAGAAGCAGGAGTAGGGAAGATTTTCCCCATCTTTCCAGGATCACCAACATACAGAAGTAATAAAAAAAATGTATATAGCTTTTTCTTAGAGAAACATAAAACATTCAGCTCATGTGCTGTTTAAATTAAGAACAAGGAAATGAAAGATTTATTCAACAAGTAAAATAAATATTTTTAAAAGAATTATCAGGCACATTTTATGTCCAGTTTGGGGCAAAGAGTGAGAAGAAGAGTAGGAATGATAGTGAAGTAGAGTGAGGAAGAAGCTGTGTAAAGAGAAATGTGAAGTATAGATGCAGTAAGAAGGAAAAGGGAAAATGAGAGAGAAAAAAGGCAAAATAGTCACTAGGGGAGAGAGAGGGTAGAAGGTTTCCATAGATTGTGAAGTATAAATCACAAGCTTCAGCACACTAGGACCATAGATTCCAGGATGTTATTATTATCTATTTAATAATTCATTCGCTGGACACCCACCACATACCTCTTCTGACTTGGGGCCTCTTCTGACTTGGGGAATATGGTATAAAACAAAACAAAGCACCTCTTTTTTTTTTTTAACTTATAGGTGATAAACAAGAAAATATGTGTTAGACATATTCTATTAAGATAAAAACAAAGCAAGGGAATATTTAGTGACTGAAAACACTGTTTTAGATTATGTGGTCAGTATGGTCTGTGAGGAGATGAAATTTAAGCTGAGATGTAAATAGAGGGAAGAATCTGACTTTGTGACAATATGACAATCACTCCAGGCCAAAAAAACAGGTACAAAGTCCTCAAAGCAAGAAGGGGTTTACCAAGTTAGAGGAAAAGACCAAAGGTGAGTGCGGCTGAGGTATGAGGAAAAAAGAGGCATAATACAATGTAAAAGAGTGATTTTTAGGGCAGTGAAACTACTCTGCATGATACTACGATATTGGATACATGTTATCATAAATTTGTCCAAACCCACAGAATTTACAACACAAAAGTGAACCCTAATGTAAACTGTGGCTCTGGGTGATAATAATGCATTAGTGCAGGTTCATCATTCTGGTGAAGGATGTTGATAATGAGAAGGGTATGCATGTGTAGAGGCAGGGGCTATATAGGAAATCTCTGTATCTTACACTCAATGTTGCTGTGAGCCTAAAACTACTCTAAAAAATAGAATCTATTAATAGTAAATAAAGTCAGAGTGGTAGGCAAGAGCTAGATTATGAAACACTGTAAGGAGACTGCTAGTAGGCTATTGTAATAATCCAAGCTGGAGGTGATAGTGACTCAGACTGGTGTAATGGCTGTCAGAATAATGTGCTTTGGCAAAGAGTCAGTTAATTTACTAATGGGCTGCATGTTACAAATAAGAGAGAGAGAAGAATCAGAGTTGTTTAATGAAATTTGAGATTGAGGAGTAGGTGGCCGATGATGCCATGTACTGAGCTGAAGAAACACAGGGGATGTGGAGGTTTTCTGTTATTGGTTTCAGTTGCATGTAGTGTTGTGGGGCTGGAGAATCAGAAGATCTCTTTGGACATGTGAAGTCTATGGAGCCTATTAGACATCCAGGTGGTGTTGAGTAGGAAGCTGGATATACAGCTCTAGAGCTCTTACTAAAATTCTTAATTTTCGCAATTTCTTTCTCTACAGATTTTCTATACTCAGATACTTTAACATGAGGAAAGTAAACAGGAATAATGGTGAGAATGAATCTCTGCACTGTCACATCATTAATCAAAACAATACTAGCGGCAAGATCTAGATAAAATCAAACTCAGGATCAAAGCAAACACTGAGTCATGAGGTCCATTGTTTCAGCAGAAAGGAAGTACATTCTCTACATGGAAACTTGAGAGGTTAATACCCTAGAAATCTGTAAATACCAAACTGGTCAAGTAAAAGAAAATAGGAAAAGAGATTACCTTAATTTGGATAAATTAACTTGGTGGGAAATACTCTTATCAGAGATGAATGTTTTCTGCAAGGCTTAAGGATTTGGAACACTAATTAAAAGTTACAAAATATGTAGATTTCAAACATATTTGTTATTTTGCTTATGTTGATGTATAAAGCTGATGTCAGTTTCTAGTTAACTATTTTATTAATATAAAATATTATTCATAAGATATCTCACATCAATAGGACCTGATCTCTAAAAGGTCAATTGTGTGTGTGATTTATAGGCATAGCCTGAGCCCAGTGCTCAATGTCTAAGTTAAGATAGAATATTATTTGATTAGTCATATTGTTTTAGCAGTTGAAATAAAATATAAGGAAATATTAACATGACAATAGCAAGCCAAATAGATCTATTTTTATATCTATAGATGAAACACTGCTCCGTAAGATTATATTTGAAATAATTTGTCAATACTTATTAAAAAATTTCAAAGAATACCCCATGCCCCAACACTCCCTCTTCATCAAGAAGCTTCACAATTAGGAGGAATGGAATGTCTGGCAAACTTAATGCATTGTATTAAAGTCTATAAAAAACAAAAAAAAGGGACCGGGCATGGTGGCTCACGCTTGTAATCCCAGCACTTTGGGAGGCCAAGGCGGGCGGATCACGAGGTCAAGAGTTCGAAACCAGCTTGGCCAACACAGTGAAACACCGTCTCTACTAAAAATACAAAAATTAGCTGGGTGTGGTGGCGTGCACCTGTAATCCCAGCAACCTGGGAGACTGAGGCAGGAGAATCGCTTGAACCTGACAGGCAGAAGTTGCAGTGAGCCAAGATCCAAGATTGCATCACTGCGCTCCAGCCTGGGCAACAGAGCTAGACTCTGTCTCAAAACAAACAAACAAACAAAAACAAAAACAAACAAAAAACAAAAACGGGGCCGGGATTGGTGGCTCAGGCCTGTAATCCCAGTACTTTGGGAGGCCGAGGCTGGCGGATCACCTGAGGTTGGGAGCTTGGGACCAGACTGACCAACATGGAGAAACCCTGTCTCTACTAAAAATACAAAATTAGCCAAGTGTGGTGGTGCATGCCTGTAATCCCAGGTACTCAGGAGGCTAAGGCAGGAGAATTGCTTGAACCCAGGAGGCAGAGGTGGTGAGCGGCGATCGTACCATTGCACTCCAGCCTGGGCAACAACAGTGAAACTCCATCTCCAAAAAAAAAAAAAGCAGGCAATTTTTGGCCACCTACATGCATATAGTCAAAAATAATTACCTTAAATGCAGGGAGAAATTTGTTTCAAAGTATTTAAAATATGCTTAATTTTAAGAATTGAGATTAAAAATATGAATTCAAAATGAATTTTGTTGCCTTTAAATAAGCATTATACACTCATATGACTTTCTCACAAGTACAGAAATTGTGTGTGCGTGTGTGTGTGTGTGTTCATAATCCCTTGGAAATTTCTTTCATGTAAGAAACACATACACACACACAGTATTTCCAGAATTCCAGATTTTAAAAATGCAGTATTTCAGATTAAAACCCAGTCTTGAATCTTACGTGTGCATATTCTGGCAAATTTCCTGTATGTATTTTGTATGTACATATGTTTTTGAACATCTGTAATATATAAGACAGAAATGAATGAGGCTGGAAGCTGGTGTGCTGATAGGGAGAGTGTGCCTCTCACAGAGCCTTAGGCTGTACTTATTTCTCTTCTACAATGTTTTCACTTTCCTTTCCACATTAGGCCATATCGGTTAGGGTGTTAGCACTAACCTGCAACAATATATCTCATAGATAACAATACACCCAATCTTTGGACTCTTGGCTTCTCCAAGAAATAGATTATATTGGTATATTTTCCCAATGACTAAAGAAAATAAGGATTTATCTAGATACAGTTCATCACTGTTCAAACCCCTTGTATGAGAACTTTCTAGGTAGTCTTTAGGTTCTTTTCCAAGTATCTGTGACACCAACTACTTTTGAAGAGTGCTAAAATGTTACTTTGCTATTGTTTTACCTGGCAAAAAAATAAAGTTAAAAAATCATATTTGCCATTAATTTATCTTTACTTAACACTAGAAAATGAGCCAAAATGTAATTCATAATGAGAATTTCAGCTAAAGCAGAATGATGGTACTTAGCATAAGACTAAGGTGACAAAAATTTGGTATCATTTTCCTTATACAAGTAATTACTTGTTTCAATCATTGATTTATACAAGTAACTTACAAATATATTTCATTAAGAAGATATCAAATTATACCAAAGTATACTGAGTAAAAATCAATTTTGGATTTAAGGATGTTCAGAGCACATGCTATTATCTTCTCTGCCTACACCAAATCCATGTAAATAATAGCAAATATAAAAGGCATAAAAGTGGAATATGACTGAATGTCCTATTGAATGAATGAAAGGACACATAGCAACACCGAAAAAACAGAAGAAGCATGCCATGCAGGATTTTTTTTTAACACAAATGTGGTTTTTCTACACTAACAACCAATTCTCAGAAACCAACTGGTTGTCCAACCATTCAGTTTAATCCTGACATTAATTAGCTAAAGTTAGCACAGATCCCACAGGTTAAGGCTCGTTCACTTCAGACACTTAAACTGCAAATGGTGTCCCAGGTACTCATACTTCTACCAAGCCAACTACCAATTTGAGCATTCCCTCAACCCTCTTCTCAGATTTCATGATTCACTAGAATAACTTGGAGAATTCAGGAAAATACTTGGCTTATGTTTACTGGTTTATTAAAAAGGATATAATTCAGAAACAGCCAACTGGAAAAGATGCATAGGGCAAGGCATGGGAGGGGCGATGGCATAGTTTCCATACCTTCTAGGGGTGTACCAACCCACCCAGCACTTCAATGTGTTCACCAACACAGAAACTCAGGGAATCTTGTTCAAGATTCTTTATAAACCAATCTCCAATCCCATTCCGCTTCCTGGGGGTCGGGGAATGGGGCTGAAAGTTCCCATCCTCCAATCATGTTTTTAGTATTTCTGGTGATCAGTTCCTATCCTGAAGCTATAGTAGGCTCCACTTTGACTCACCTCACTAGCATAAGTTCATGTGTGGTGGAACAGCAAAAGGCATCCTATGACTCAGGACATTCCAATGGCTTTAGTACTTCTGTGCCAGGAACTGAGGACAAAGATCAAATATATTTTATTTTATTTATTTATTTATTTATTTTAAGACAGAGTCTTGCTCTGTTGCCCAGGCTGGAGTGCAGTGGCATGATCTCTGCTCACTGCAACCTCCACCTCATGGGTTCAAGTGATTCTCCTGCCTCAGCCTCCCAAGTAGCTGGGATTACAGGCACCTGCCTCCACGCCTGGCTAATTTCTGTATTTTTAGTAGAGACGGGGTTTCACCATGTTGGCCAGGTTTGTTTCAAACTCCTGACTTCAAGTGATCCACCCACTTCAGCCTCCCAAAGTGCTGGGATTACAGGCATGAACCACCATGCCTGGCCAGATAATTTTATTGTATCAAAAGTGGCTATATGATATTTATGAAACATACCTAAAATAAAGTAGCATTGAAAATAATGGTTAAATATATATCAGGAAAATGCTATTAAAATGAAAACAATTGTAGTATTAATGAATATTAATGAATATCAGATAAGATAGACTTTAAAGTAAAAAGCTCAAAGAGATATTTACTATTAATATAAAAGACAGTCCACGAAGAGGGTAGATCTCAGAGACTTTAAATGCCCAGCAACACAGCCTAAAGATACATAAAGCAAAAGCTGAGAAAATGACATATCGACCATAATTTGGTTAGCCTTTAATAAACCTTTCTCAGAAATCAGCAGATAAAATAGACAATCATAAAATACAGAGGATTTGGGTAACACAATGAAAAGTTTATCTATATAGATATATACCTCAGCCCAGGTAAAAGAGGTAGTATTTTAAAACACACATGGAATATTCACAGGTATTGTCCATTACTCAGATACAGAGAAAGTCTTAGTAATTTTTTAAAAAATTAATATAATACAGGTCATGTTCACCTAGCATAATGCAATGTTGTTTCTAAAATAAAGTAAATATTTATACCTGAGAAATTTTCAAAACTTTTTATTGCAGCATTGGTTTGTAAAAAACAAAATTAGAAAGCAACCCAATAAATAAATAAATAAAAGCCACCCCTATTCAAAATCTGCATTTGAAAACTAAAGAAAAAAGTAGAAATCTGCATTTGAAAACTAAAGAAAAAAGTAGAAATCTGCCTTTGCCATCAATCAATCCCCATTCTCCATTTCTCAGGTAACTACTATTACTGTTATAGTATCTGTCATTCCAGATTTATTCCCTATGTGCTTACATGTTTTGGCTGATTGATTGATAGGTAGATAACAGAATCTAGAACCATAGCGCATTGCTTCGTGACTATAGTGTAGATACAGTCATACTACAGATTAGTTTATGCTGTATATATTATTCTACAACTTTCTTTACACTTAGCAGTTCTATGCCAGTATGCCATTATCTCATTCTTTTTAAATGTTGAATAGTATTTTATAGTATGTTTGTACTATGTTTAATTTAGCCACTACCCCACTGATGAAAATTTAGGTTGTGAAAAAAATGGTTCAGTTTTACAATCTTTTAAGCATCCATTAAAAGGTCTTTAAAATGTCTCTCTGGAGATATATCTGAGCAGTTTCCCAGTCTAAAAATCTGAAAATTAAATTGCTAGGCTGAAGTGTATATTCATTTTTAATTCACATAGGTGAATTACCAAAATGCTTTTCAAAATGACTCTTCTAGTTTACACATCCAACAAAGTATTCGAAAGTACTGAGTATTATCAGCCTTTTAAATGTTTTTGCCAAATTGATCTTTCTGTTTTAAACTACAGCTTTAAATTACACATGACTGAGCATATTTTATTAGTTCATTAGCCATTTTCATGTTTTCTTCTATGAATTGCCTATTTCTAACTTTTTTCCCATTTTTTTGTTTGGCTGTCTTTTTATTGATTTATACAAGTTCTTCATGTATTCTGGATATTAAATCATTGTATTATACATTATTATATTTTATTTCAGCCTTGTCTTGCTTTATAATTTTGTTATCTTTCCTTATACCAGCATTTTTTAAAATTTTGATATTAAAAGTTACATAATTTAAAAGGATTTTGCAAAGCCTTCACTAATATTCCAAAACACTTTCTCAGCAGTCAGTAAAACACTCAAAATAAGTTTGTTCATGTTTTAAGACAACAAAATTAGGTGTTTTCTAAAAGATATGAAGACATTTAAATTGTTTTAATTTTAATAACAATATTTGAATTTGTATGCATTAATTCAAAAGTGTTTCGAGATAAGGAGGCATCATGAATAACTTGAAAAGACAGGGACAGTTACTTGACATTTGGAAAAAATTCTGTTTAGATCCTCACCTTATACCATATACAAAAACAAAATCAGACAATTAAGAAATTTAAAGTTATAAAAAGATATCAAACCATTAAAAATGTGTAAGATAGGTGAATATTTATCTGATCTTTGAATAGGGTAAGATTTTCTGAGATTAAAAATTCTGGAACAAATTATTATTTTTAATTTTTTTAATTTTAATGTTTTTGGGGTACAGTTGGTTTTTGGTTACATGGATAAGTTCTTGAGTGGTGATTTCTGAGATTTAGTGCATCTGTCACCTAAGCAGTCTACACTGTACCTAATATCTAGCCTTTTATCCGTCACCCTCCCTAAGTTCCCCAAGTCCATTTCATCACTCTTATGCCTTTTCATTCTTGTAACTTAGCTCCCACTTACAAGTGAGAACATATGATATTTGGTTTTCCATTCCTGAGTTACTCCACTTAGAAAAATGGCATCCAGCTCCATCCAAGTTGCTACAAAGACATTGTTTCATTCCTTTTTATGGCTGAGTAGTATACCATGTTATAGATGTAATACATTTCTTTAATCCATTCATTGGTTGATGGGTACTTAGATTGGTTCCATATATTTGCAACTGTGAACTGTGCTGCTATAAACAAGTGTGTGCATGTGTTTTTTTCATATAATGATTTCTTTTCCTTTGGGTAGATACCCAGTAGTGGAATTGCTGGAGCAAATGGTAGCTCTACTTTTAGTTCCTTAAGGAACCTCCATACTGTTTTCCAAATGTACTAATTTACATTCCCACCAGCAGTGTAGAAGTGTTCCCTTCTCACCACATCCACACTAACGTCTCTTGGTTTTTGACTTTTTAATTATGGCCATTCTTGCAGGAGTGAGGTGGTATCTCATTGTGATTTTAATTTGTATTTCCCTGATGGTTAGTGATATTGAGCATTTTTTCGTTTGTTGGCTGTGTGTATATCTTGAGAAATGTCTTGTATCCATTGCCCACTTTTTGATGGGTTTATTTTTTTTTCTTGCTGAAAGGAACAATTTTTTAAAAAAAGACTGATTAATCTGAATTCTAAATGACTCAAAAATAAAATTTTTATTATATTTTATTTGAGTCTAAATGATACTTAACAACTAAAAATTTTAATAAATGCAATACACAAAAGACTCACATTTTAGCTTTAAAAAATTCCCATGGAAATTTATAAGAAAATACCAAGATACCCAAGGGATAACAGAGTAAAGCACTTAAACAATTCACAAAAGAAGAAACACAGATAAAAAAGATTTCAAATTTGCAGTCATCAAAGAAATCAAATTAAAACTGCATAAAATATTTGGCAAAAAAAAATCAGCAACTGTTACTGGATTTAGTTTAAAAATGAGCCAATTCTGCTGAGAATAAAAATTAGAGTTAAGGTTAAGCTTAGAAGAACATGCCCCTTCTCTCCTGATAAAACTGGCATGTATCAAAAATATTAAAATGGTCAGACTTGAGCATTTGGCCTGGGAGTTTTTATTCTAATAATCAATTCTAAGGAGACAATCCAAAATGCAGATAAAAATATAAGCCCAAAGGTTTTTTTTAATAATATTAATAAAAGCTTAAAATGCAAAAAAGAAATAACCTAATCACTCAACATTATAACTTCATACAATAAGTATTTATTGCTCACCTACAATGTGCCAGCCCTGCTAAAGGGTTAGAGAGTTAGTGCACAATAAGGCAGATAAGGAGCTCATGATCCAGAGGGGCCAGAGTAAACAGTAAATGAATGACTATCTCCTAGAGTCTCCCAGCAGCCTGCCTCTGCAGATCTGGGGGAAAGTCCTACAGGCAGAGGAAATGGCAGTGCAAAGGTCCTGAGCTCCAGGAAGGAACTAGATTTTCAAGACTTTGCAAAGAAAAAAAAAAAAGAGGAAGAAAAAGAAGACAGTCATAAAAGCCCACGTTGCTGAGCTGCTGAACACAGTATTAAGGCAATTCCACAATAAGAAAATAACTAAACAATACATGTATGTTGTAAAACACTGTTTAGCGTAAGTGATATAAATTTGCAAAGGGTTTTCAGTAATATGGGAAATGCTTATAATATCATGTCATGTAAAAAAGTAGGAACAAAACTTTATGTATTTTACTGTCACAGCTATGGAAAAATTGCATAGAAGACTCACTGGAAAGAAAACTGCAGTGTTAAGAATAATTGCTCCTAAGAGAGCAGAGCAGGACTTTTTTCTCTCTTTTTTGACAGTATTTTATTATTTTCAAATTCTCTATAAAGAGAACATATTAATTTAATAAGCCAGGAATGTTTAAAACTGGAGAATAAAGAAAACATACCCAGTGAATATTTCACTCAGCTTACAAAAAAATCAACCTAAAGCTACACATCTCAGCATTCCTTCACGTAGGCTGCAGAGATTTTTCATTACCTTGTGCTAGCAGGGCATGGTTTTAATGCTTCTAATGCATGCCTTTTATTTGGCTGTCCTGTTGATGCATTTTACTGAAGTCACATTTACAGAAGCCCCTGAACAAGACACTTAAGCTGCCTTCACACCACTGTCTCTTCTCTCACTTTCAGCCATCCCATTTCCACCCCCACTAAATTTAATATGCTGAAATATGAGAGAATTTGAGTGCTAGCTTTGCTCAGATGATGGAGGATCTTGACAGCAACTCCATCCCCTTGTAAAAACTCTCAGTCAGCATGAAACCTACTTAGTATAATAAACACCACAGCATGAACTATTTTTGCAGGTGAGTTGTCTTGTGGGCAGCCCACCCATAAATTAAGAGGACAGGCTAGAACAAGAAAAGTTGCTCCAACAAGAAGAGGGGGAAATAGAGTTTAGCCTCGAACCCCCCACAGACTGAAGGTCATAGGCCTGCTGAGACTGACAATTCATTATAATTTATTAGTGAGAGCATTTTTCCTTAAACCAGCAGGAGCATTAGAACCTGACACATTACTTTTAAAAACTCAATAGAAACTGAAAAGGTTTGCAGAGGACATGAGATATATGGAACACCAGAAAGGAAGGCAAAGCTTATGGCTTGTCAACCAAACTTGGATTTTCTTATAAGCAAAAGGACTTTCCAAATGTTATTGGAATCTTAGTGGGTGCTATAATAGCGAAATTATAAACTCCTGGGATCCCTCCTCTAACTTACTGTTAGTTTTCAGAGTTTCTAGAATTATCTATAAAATATTGTGCAGGAATTAATAACTCATGTCATTACTAATATAAGTAAGGCCTAATCTATTTCAACTCCCAATATGAACAAATTTTACCATATTGATTTTTAACATTGCAGCTATCCAATGAGTCTTCAAAAGAGCATTTTTAAAAGTGTATCCCATGTAATATTAATTTTTGCATGGCATTCTTCAGAAAAAAAATTTAAAGATTCTGCAGTCAAATAAGTTTGGGGAACTCCGATATCCCCTGGATTCTCAATGTCTATTGCTGTATTAAAGGTTTTGAGAAACCTGGAAGTAAAGAAAACTATTTGAACCATATATAACTTTTGAATATTTTTGCACAAGGTATCTTTTAACACAAATGCTCTAGAGAAATTTGAAATAAGCTGTCTTAAAACAGTGTTGCCTGCCTCTCAGAACTATAATGAAGAAAAAAAATTATCAACTATGAATGGCCCAAACATCAGGTGCTGATAAGAAAATTGCTGCACCGTCATTTGGTGGCATTTATTTTTATTTCCCTTCCAGAGATCCTACAATCTTAGTGAGATCCTAGTTTTAAATGTGATTGGGATCTCAATGTAATTAAATTAAATGTGATTGGGGTAGAGGGGGGAATTGAGTGGTTCACCCAGCAGCCCTCCTTTTTCTTGACACCGTCTCTCCTCTTTCCCTTTCATAATGTCATATGATATAAAAGGGTATCTAACCTAATACAGCAGATACTCTGATATCCAACATGTGTTTCCTTGCATAGGGTACACCTGGTATCTAATTAATTAGAGGAGCAACCAAATTATGATTTTATTTCTGAATTCTAGAGTTCCTACAAAATGTACACTTCAATGTGAACATAGTAAAATACTTAATATCAGGAAAAACAATTTCTTATATTTATTTTCATTCTACTGGCTGATTTCAACCTGATTCAACTCATATTATACTTGAACTTTCACCAGGTTTGACCTAGGCTTCCTTGATCTTCCTGAATTGAAACGGAAAGTTAGTTACAGTAATACAGAGAAGAAGCAGAAATCTAATACAAGAATGAGTATTATCCATAAAATAAGAACAGTTAGTTTGTGAGTCAAGCCCACCTTGAATGTATTTTGACAAAACGATCTTAATATGTGGATATAGTATGCTGTCTAAAAGTATTAAGAATCATATAGCAATATTAAATGGAATGGAGGAAAACAAGTGAAAGCTTTCAAATATACCATTATTATTCTAATTACTAAAGCTGGATGGAACAGCTGCATTGTTTTCTACAGTTTGCTATCTGCTTGTTGTCCTTTCTAAGTTCAGCACATCATTATAGTTCCTAAAATCTTTACCTTCTTGAAGTCCTTAATAGTTCCAATGACTTCCTTTAAGTTAAAATGTACATGCTAAACCATCTGTAATAAATGGAAAATAATACTAGAACTTGTTCTAAAATGTAATGCACTTTTTTCTGATAACAAAGGAAGAAGAAAACTATGTTTTTGAATCTGCAAACATTTGACAAAGGCTCACTCACCAAGGGAGACAGTGAATGAAAAGCCCAAAGAAGGCTGACTAATGACTCAATGTTATGCATAGTAGGAGTGACATGCTTGGCCTACCTGCTCATCTACAACCTGACTGAGTGCATCACCAGTGTGACCACCTGGAATAGGAGGACCTCAAGCCAGACAAATAACAATGACCATGGATGAACAAGAGAAAGTGATGAAGACTCTGTTGTTGGATAACTTACTGACAGCGGGGGATGTCTAGATCTCAGAGGGTTAAAAAGAAAAAGAAGAGGTAAGGTAGGAGAAGTGGTACAGTATGGGCTCTGGCATGGAACCTCCAGAGTTCAGAGCCTGACTCGGCTGCCTCTAATATTAAATTAATCAGGACATTAATAGGAATTATCCAATAGGATTACAGTGATTGGATGAGGCCATGTTTGTAAGCAGAGAATAGAGCCGAGCACATGGTTCGTACTTAATAAGTATTCCTTATTATTAAGATAACACATTCTTTCTTTATATATCCTATGGAAAGGCATGCACACTCTGCTATGTACCTGCAGAGGACAAAACTAGGACCAATAAATGAGGTTACAAAGAGACAGAGTTAAATTCAAGAGAAGAAAAAAAATGAATAAAGTTTGAAATTTGTGAATTAGGAGTTGAAGGAGTCCTTTCTGTTTCCAGCTTCAGTTTATATTGTCTGCCTATGGCATATGGTGTTGCCTCAAGCAGTGTGATGGCATTCCAGCAGAGGGTGGGCACTTACACTGACAGTTGTAAAGGAGATTTCTCCATTAGGTGGTAGATTAGTGCTGTGCCCTACTCTAAGGTTTTAAGACTTCTCAACATCTCTGCCTATCTATACCACAAAACACCTCTAATAGATATATAAATGCTAATTTTTCATAAGGGAAAGAAAGCACAAAAGATGTATTATCGGTGTGAAGGTTTGGTCTAACTGCTCCAACAAATGCAATGCACACACATCAGGACTCAAACAAGAAAGAAATTTGTTTTGTTGTGTTGTACTTTGTTTTTCAGAAATCAGTCCAGTGTAAGCATTAGAACTGCTTTGCTAGTTTCTCCTCACCTGTGGCTCTGTTGTCCACAACACACTTCCCTCACATGATCCAGTATTGTCACTAGATCTCCTACACAAATTGGAAACAAGAGTTGTGACAAGATCTTTCAAGAACACACACTTTTAATAGTGCCAAAATACTGGTCATTCTGCAGAGGCATTACCCTAGAGGGCCGTTATCCTATGTCTCTCCCCTGCATTGATATTTCTATCCATTTTTGAGGATTCAAAGATAGACATCGGATAATCAAGATCATTGGGTTAAAAAACAATAACAGTAAAGTTTAGAAGAGAATGAATGGTTAGTCCACAAAACATGGAATGTTGGATCAGGATTGGAAACTGAGGCTTCAGAATCCCTCTGCAGTCAGGGGAGTCCTCTGAAAGCCCCCAAAGCTGCTTGGACTCTCTCATCAGCATCATTGTGGAGACACCTTACCACCCATGATATGAGTTTCGAGAAGCACCAGACTTCACCAATGATGAATAAAACTTCACTTCTGATGAATAAAACTGTCTCCAGGCAGCTGTAACCAGCTGCCCACTAGACATAAAATAAGACATGTGGCAGCTGGGAAGACTGAGTAGCCAAAATAATGCATTTGACTTTCATTGCAAGAGGTACCTCTCCATCAAGAGGGATTATGCAATAGGGGCCCATATCATGCTCATAGCCAAGGCAAAACCTAATATGGAAGTCCCGCTCATCTATAAACTATTGCATAGGTTTCCCAGGTTTTTCTCAGAACACCCAGGATGTCATATAAATAAGATTCTGTAGTAATCTGTATTGACTGTCCTTGAAATCCCAGCTCGAAGTGTTACACACATTCTGGCAAAGGATGCAAAGGAAAGCAAGTGTGTTCTCAGTTTAAAAGTGGGCCAGCGGTCTGGATAGTTATTACTTGGGATTAAGTTTAACTACACTACCTCTTTTTCATTCTGATACCCTTGAAAATTTACTATTTTGTATTGTTTCAACCAAACGATACTACCTTCAACCCATATCTTTATTTTATTTTATTTTATTTTATTTTATTTTATTTTATTTTATTTTATTTTATTTTATTTTACTAGAGATAGGGTCTCACTTGGTCGCTCAGGCAATCATAGCTCACTGCAGCTTCAAACTCCTGGCCTTAAATGATCCTCCTGCCTCAGCCTTCTGAGTCTCTGGGATTATAGATACAAACAACCACGCTCAGCTCTCAGTCCATATTTTTAAGACAAAGCTCAAGAAAATAACTAAGGCATTCTCTAAATTTGCTTAATATCTAGGATAGCCTAAATCCACTTTTGGAAACTATTAATAAATCATCAATTTCATATGAGATTGTCCTAGATCTTCACAGGGCCAGATATCTGATGTAATGTAAGTTTATCACTTAATTTGACACAGATATAAAATGGAAGACTAATGTTGATGCAATTTAAGGCAAGTGTTACTATTATTAGTCAGTATGATTTGGATCTCCTTTTATTCTCTAAAGAAATGACAGAAAAAATCATGTATTTAACTGTTTCTTACAGAAAAAATCATATTAGAAAAAAACTAAAGCCATTTTTCATAGTTTTCCATTGAGACTAGACATCCTTAAAACTTTGCCCTAATATCTTTTTAGGGGAAAAGGGTTGAGAGCTTTTGGATAATTAGACATTTCATGGAGAACAAACATAAAATTCCAGACAATTTTTGAATATACTGTTCTTAGTTCATGTAAGGCGGGATTTTTACCATATAAAAATGAGACCCCCTAGACACTGAATTTGCTAAAATATACAAAGTCACTATTAACAGCCTTGAAATAAAATCTTTTAAAGAGTAGGAACACAAGTTGCTGTTCACCTCTCATCAGCATCGGCTACTTTTACTGTCATCTAGCATTTCTAGATGATGTTTCTCATAGTGTCACCTCTAGTCATTCCTTTATCTCACATGGTCACAGAACATTTTCTTCCAGATGAGAGAAAAGATCAAGTTAGCCATCTAAAGACCAAAAATACTAAAAATTTTGAGAGTCTAGTTTGAAACACAAAGTTATCATGCAGCTTTTAAATTATTTGAAATAACGAACTGTTGCTTTCCAAGAAGTCACAAGTTGCATTTTGGAGCTGAGCTTGCAAATCTGCCCCAGGATGAAAAGTTGGTGGCTCTGATTTGTAGAGTATTCATATTTGGGCACATCTGTTGTAATGTATCCTAGCTTACATGATGGCAGTTGACAGCCCTGGGCACCTGCTGCATAAATATAAAAACAGCACAATGAAAGTAGGTGTACAAAACTTATAATTTTAGGATTATTAAAAGTTAAATGCGGAAGGCAAACCTGTCAGACTTGTAGGGAGAACAAAAGGATAATGCATTTATGACCTAGAGAACAAAAGGATTTCTTAAGACACAAAATGTGCTAACCATAAAGGAAAAGACTGGTGAATTTGTCCAAGGAAAAATTAATAATTTTTTTACCAAAAGATGCCATAGAGTGGGAAAAAAAATAAACAAGTTACAAACTTGGAGAAGGTTTTGCAACACACACAAAAAAACAGAAGAGAAAAAGATATATACTAGAAATATTATTTTAACCTCATACCAAAAATAATACACAAAAACATCCTCATGTAAGTCAGTAAGAAATAGATAACCCTGTAGAAAATGAGAGCATAAGTCATAAACTGGCATTCCACAGGTGAGAAAATCTAAATAACTAACAAATGTATTACGCATCTTAAAATACGTATAACTTCATTAGTAATTAAAGTCACAATAAGATACCATTTTACCCCAAGCTTAGCAAAAATTAAAAAACAAACTAAATTTATGTAGAGCAAGCAGGACTCTCATTCACCACTGGTAGAAGATAAACATGTACAGCTACTTTGAGAAAATTTTGGCATTATCTTGTAAAGTTGAATTTTAAATAACTGCTCAAAGTCACACAGTCAAAATTCACCCTAAACAGTATAATCTACGGTGGGGACCAATCTTTCAAAATGTTTCTTGATTAAGAAGATATTTTGATGTTTTATTAAACACAACGTCTGCTTATTTGAAGCTTATCAGTACATATTTGTGAATGCATAGAGCCAGCAGACAGTCCTGGGTGTGCATGTGGATTGCAGCCCCTTTACATAGCTCCACAAAACCTCAAAGGTCTTCTGCCCCCAGTTTAAGAATCATCTTCTGTCGCAACCTCCATGACAGCCAATATTAGCAATGGAGTTGTTTCTCTATTCCCTTTGAAGGGAAGGTGAGGAAAAGGAGTGAGTGATCACTCACTCACTAAAGGAATTTAATTTGGCCAAACAAATTAACGCTCTGTGCATTAGGTCATATGAGAGCTGATGTCAGAAAAAAAAATTAAGTAAACATTCCACAAACATACATTCTTTTTCCTGTTCCTTCTCTAGTTGATCTGTAAATACCCACCGGCTTTGCCATGTTGTATGAAACTTACAGCAAGCCACATCTTCATTTGAGCTGCAAAAACCTTCTTGGTCAGATTGTCACACCCATTTAGTATTCATTTGTTCTATTAAATGCCAGCATATGTTATATCTTGAGTGTGTATTGGTGACATTTTAATTTTTTAATTAAAAAGTTTCTTACTCTAATGCTTTCAGTGGAAATTTAGACAGATAATAAGTATACAACTATAAATACAAAGTGTGACAAGTGTCATGAAGGAAGCTACAGGTACAGTGAGGAAGCTACACTCAAGAATAGTCAGGTCCACTGGGGTGAAGTGGTCTCTGACGACAAGTCCTGTAAAACGAGAGTCAAAGGATGGAGACGGGCCAGCCAGTTCAAGGAGGTGTCCAGAGAAAGAGCAGTTCTTCTTGACTTCCCAGGGGTCTTCTAAACAAACATCTCATGACACCACCCACGGTGCTTGCTGTGGAATTCCAATATGGAACTTTTCTCTAACAGTGACACATTAGGAATGTAATGTTAACCTATCTCTTTTTACATCATAATAAAATCTATTATTTTCCTAATAAAAAATTAAGGACCAATTATTCTATTGTCCCAAACTGAAATCTCCCTTCGCCACAGATACTCTTCTCTTTCTGACATTCTCTCAAAACTCTTCAACCACCCTCAACTCCTTCAGTCTCCTTTCTCAGTGCCCTCACGTGCCAAGTCCCGCGGATCCCTTCTCTGGGATCTCTTCCATCCACTCTCATCATCATTGCTGCCACCCAGTGAACTCTCTCCCCAGCTCCTGTCCTTGCCCCCAACCGACCACCGATCCCCAGCCTTTCCCTGCTCTGATGATCAATGTGGTTTCTGCATCCATCTTTCTCAGTCACAGCCATAATGCTACCATTCCCCGATGAAAAACCTTTAGTGACTCTCCATGGTGAGACAAACAAAACCCTAATTCTGTACCCTGGTATTTGAGGAGGTCCCTGGCTTCTTACAGAAGCTTCAGTTGTCTTGGCTTGTTCTCATTTCCCCTGAGAGGCTCACAGTTCCTCCATGACTGCTCATCTGTCCTTCCTACAATACAACTCTGTCCCCACATACTATCTCTTCCTATCCACCCTTCAAAGTCAGGCTCAGATGCTTCCTCTGTTCAGACACTGCAACCAGAGGAATTTTTTGTTGTTATTGAAACCTCCAGGGCCTTTTGTACCTTCCTTGCAATTTTTACCTTTTTTTGAGACAGTCTCGCTCTGTCACCCAGGCTGCAGTGCAGTGACACGATCTTGGCTCACTGCAACCTCTGCTTCCTGTGTTTAAGGGATGTTCATGCCTAAGCCCCCCAAGTAGCTGAAATTACAGGTGCAGCCTGGCAAATTTTTGTATTTAGTAGAGACGGTGTTTCGTCATGTTGGCCAGGCTGGTCTTGAACTACTGGCCTCAAGTGATCCACCTGCCTTGGCCTCCCAAAGTGCTGGGATTACAGGTGTGAGCCACTGCACCTGGCCCACAATTTGTACCTTTCCTGTGGCATTTACACACCCAGCCTTAGAGCCTACTTTATCTGTCCATAAGTCCCATCAGCTCTAGTGGACTGTGGTTTTCCAGGGAGCAGAGGTGCTGCCTTCGCACTTTCCCCATCTCACACCTATTTCTGTGACTTTCTTGTTGGAGGAATATAAATATTTATTGACTCAATCAGGGATATAGGTTTAAAATACTATTCTGTTTCTCAGATTCAAAACTTCAGTGACGAAAAAGGGAGCACCTTGAAATATAAAAATCACTTTCTATTTCTACATTTCTACACACCTATGTATTATTTGATCTTAAATAATAGACAACTTGAAATTTTCTCTGATAAGATTTTGAAACTAAAGCTTATCATGGTAATTATCTTTACCTATGAAAATGTACATATCACCTTTTACATAGTAAATATTCAAAAACTATTGCTAACTTATGGTTTCTATGTATTAAATATTAATACTGTGTTATTTTCTAATGGCATAAAAATTCAAATTCTACAAACAGGTCAAACACAAAAAGTATAGGAAGGAAAATGAGTTATGTATGAGGTAACAGATTTTACTTTTATTTCTTATACATTATTTTAAAAACACTATCAGAAAAGTGTCTAGATTTATCATCAGCATTTTCCACATTTATTACACACCAAAGAATCCTGGGTGTAGTAGGTTACTTTTTCAATTACCCATTAACTTCAGTTTATTAATAGGTTATCTCAAAGGTATATGAGTGAGCTATTAAATGTTGAAGTAAGGAACAAAAAAGCCAAAAACATATAGAAACAAAATAAAAATACAGGCATTTGTGAGAGGGTGAGAATGACAGTGGAAATTTTTTTTGGGGGGGAGTCTGGCTCTGTCTCCTAGGCTGGAGTGCAATGGTGAAATCTTGGCTCACTGCAACCTCCACCTCCTGGGTTCAAGCAATTCTGCTGCCTTGGCCTCCCAAGTAGCTGGGATTACAGGTGCCTGCCACCATGCCCAGCTAATTTTTGTATTTTTAGTAGAGATGGGGTTTCGCCATGTTGGCCAGGCTGGTCTTGAACTCCTGACCTCAGGTGATCCACCCACCTCGGCCTCCCAAAGTTCTGGGATTACAGGCATGAGCCACCACGCCCAGCTGGAAATAATTTTTAAAAGAACAAAAAATATGAAGAGACGTATGGAATATGTTAGCCAGTCATCCCATTGATAACTCTCTTCCACGTCTTAGGCTCAATAGATAAACTATACACACTGGTTTCATTTTTCTTTTTCTTTTCTTTTTGTCACCACCTTGACCCCAAACTCTGGGCCATTGTCAGATTAATCTTTTCAGAACTGATTTCAGACATCATCAGCAATAAGCAACCTAGCCTACCTCAAAAACAGCTCCTATCTGTGTAAGTGTTTATTCAGGGAAATTAAGCTCATATTGATGATGAAGGTGTTGTTGCTTAGTCTCTCTTTCATCCCTGAATTTTCCTCCACTACAGTGAGCAAGAAGCTATGAAGCTAGCTCCCATTTTCTGCTGCCCAGTACCTCCCCTATGCCACAGATAGAGCATGCATTCATTGCCAGCGTTTCTGAAGTACTCAGAAAGTATATGCAATGGTCCTATTAAAAAAAAAAAGATGCTCTTTTCAACAATCCATTAATCATAGAATCATTGCAGTATGTGCATAGATTTCAAAAAGTAGGTCTATCCAGGGCAAGAGTAGGTCTCTCTGGGCCAAGAGATATTATAGTATCAATGATACAGAGGAGGCTAACCTCAAAATGCACCAACCCATGCTGGTTGGAGGCTGTAATTTCTGATATTAGTTTATTAATGTTCCTATTCCTCACTAGATGGTGAACAGAAACAAGGTCTGTTTTGCTCACCAATAGCTAGATGTTCGCAGCATCTAACACATTGACATCTAGAAATATTCAACAAAAAATGCATCAATGAATGAATGAATGAACAAGAGAAGGCTTAAAAGTACAAATTGTCCTGAGAATATAAAGCCCTGACTTACAAAGTGGATTCCTGATACCAGACCACCTTATCAGAACTGAATTTGGTAGGAAGGAAAGGAGAATGCAAAAAGGCTTTAAGTAGATGCAAAGTAAAAGAAAGAATATAGAACATTGGCTCCAAGGAAAATAATGTCAAATTCAGCAGATTTCAAAATGTAGTTGGTAGTCAATTATGCTTCATGAATACCCATGAAATAAATATTATGCTGTGAATAGACTATTAAGATAATTTACTTAAAAAGAAAAAAAGCCCTAGTCGCTGTTATAACTTCCCCTACATAGAATATATATTGATTTTCCAAAAAATTATTAAACTCTTCTAACTTTCCAAGTCTTTTTAATTTCTCAGATAACTGACTTCCTGTATTTATTCTGAACTTCCTTATAACTTAGTTATTTCACAGCTTCTTAATACACTTCTCTTATTAAATGCTTTTTCCACTTTCAAGGAAGTCTACCAATGGCATTACTTCTATTTGTGCAAACTAATTTATTAAGATATGAATTTCTGTTTTGTTTTCCTTTTTTTCATATTTCCAAGGAAGTGATAAGATCTTTTGCAATCATCGAGAGATAAATAAAAGAGCAGCCTATCTTTGGAAGGAGTAGCTGGAGCAAGTCAACTATTGTATTCACTTTCCATGCTACAAACATATTACCATTAACTTCATGGCTTAAAACAACACACACTTATTATCTTACAGTTGTATGTAGGAGTCCAAGCACTGCTTAACTCAAGCCTCTGCTCAGCATCTCACCAGGCGACAATCAGGAAGTCGACTAGGCTGTGTTCTCATCTGGAGGCTCAACTTAGGCAGAATTCATCTCCAGATTCATTCAGATTGTTGGCAAAATTCATTTCCTTGTGCTTTGCAACCGAAGGTCCTGACTTCTTACTAGCTGTTGACTGGAGGTTGTCTTTAGGTCCTTGATGTCATTCACTCTCTTATATAAATAAACATATTCATGAGAGTGACATCCAATTGTCACTGGTTGGAAATAAATAACAGGTTCCCTGTGGGTTCAATAGGAGGGGATTATACAAGGGCATCACTCATTGGTGGCCACCTGGGAGTATGTCTGCCACAACTACCTTTTTTCACCTGCTTGCCAAATGTTCAAGCTGAATATGCAAAGTCCTCTGATGAGGAAATGCTCTTCATGGTCATTGATGAATGATCATTATAGTGATTTGAAATTTTAATCCTAGAATCCTCAAGTTGTGATCAGAATTTCTAGCGCTTTCTGGCATTTATTTTCATCTGCAGAAATAAGAAATCATTTAAGTAGGGGGAGAAATTACAAAGCCAGTTTGGTGAATAGACTAAGAACAGCAACCATGGCAGATGGGGATAATGCCAATCTTTTACAAAATAGTGAGGATTATCACCTGCTGTATTCAGTAAGTAATTTATCACTAATACAATTTTTTATTTTCAAATTACTCCTATCCTCTGTTTTAAACTTTCTTAGGTTATGGTTCTGTCTGTGAGTCTTCTCCCACAACTATTTTCCCTGAAGTCAAACAACAATGAAAGCCATTTATCATCTTCTCTCCCCTCTCGTTGAACTTATCCCATTAAAAATAGTCCTTTGACTTCTATGAAACAAAGAGAAATTAGACAGTAGACTTAGAGCCCAAGAAGGAGAAAAGTACTTTCAAATCACACCCCATTACCAGACTACCACCACTAGCTTCTTTAATTTTTTTTCTCTTTCTAATGCCAAAAAAGCTTTTACAAATTTCTCACTAGTTTCATCCCATTGTTTAGATACTATTTGGACATGGTCTTACCCCATTATATTGCCCATTCTTGACTGAAATTTGGGCAATGGACAGGGAGGGTGAGAGAAGACATATTGAGTATAAATAAAAGTAGAAAATGGAGACTATTTCAATAAACATCTTGAACTTGCTTCTAGCTATTTTAAACTTGCTCAAATCTAAAGTGTATTTTTTAAAATACTCAGTTTAGAATCAAAATCTATTTTTTTGAAAATGAATCCCATATGTTACCATTTACTTATACTTAGCTTCTTAGGAACACTGTAAAGATTATTTGAGGTCAAGTCTTGCTTGAGTGTTTTTAAATGTGTTAACCTACTAGGCCATGGGTTAAAAGGAGGGTGAGAAAGAACTCTTTCTTTCTTAACACTGAATGTCACTATACCATCTACTCTGTAGAGAACTATAATATTTTATTTTTCACAAAACCAAATAAGTTGGTTTGACAGCCAGATGAATCATCAAGGAAAACAGTATTTCAACAAAACTGATTTAATTTAATAATATACTTTGGAACAAGTATAGAAATAGAATTAGGAAAACGCGTCACATGAAGCTTCTCCATTAAACCCAGCACAAGAAGCACAGTGTTTCAACATGACCCTTCCATGAAAGAGTCTCATGCTTAACCAGGATCTTCAAGGAACAGACTTTCTCTGCTCTCGTTCCTCTACCTCAAGGTCCTAAGGTAACTTTAGAGAAATCTGGTGATAATCAAGATCATGGGACCTGATTCTTGGGACCTCACCTCCCAGAGAAGTGCATGGTTATCAGACCTATCCTGTAGTGGGGGTAACTTTGGTTCTTATCTCCATGTTACACTCTTTGCCTCCATTTTAAATGGGTGCTATAGAAATTAGTTCAAAAGGAGGAATCCTAGGAAAAGAAGAGATGACAAGCCAGCTGCTGCCCTGATCCACACTCTTTCTTCTTAGGTTCCTGGCAGCTTCACCAGCATCCATAACTACAGTGTGAGGCAGATTACACAAACCTCAGGAACATAAATCTATTGATAGCAAATGTTCTGAAAGCAAATGAGAGGCGATCTCTCTGGAGTATAATCCACCATAAATAAACTCAGTTCTTCTGCTGGTAATTAGCTTTACAATTGTTCAAGCCAAAATATGCCCCAATGCAAGAATTACAGTCCCTTAAAACTCTCTTTTACTCTCAGCTCTTTTCAGATACCCACCATGGGCTTAACAAAGATAATTGTAGGATACCAAATACCTGTTCTGGTTTTGAGTTTAATTCCAGAAAGTAAATACTATTATTCTTTATTATTTATTTCCTTATACCCTATTTGGGTTTGAAGGGTATTTCAGTTTACAAAAGAACAAGATAAAATTTTTAATGAATTCAGCAAAGTTCATCTTTCACCTTCCTAGAATTCCAGTAAATGAGAAAAACATGATTAATTTTAAGGCTTGCAATGTCCTTAAGGAAAAAAACAAATTACTGTAAATCTCATCAAAAGCACAGATCTTACGGGTACCAAGATCTTGGTACTTAGTTGTTAGATATGGCTTTTAACAGAAAAAGGAGAATGTTTGGTGGGGTTTTTTCCTAAATTTTAACCAAATATTTCAGATTATTAAAGCTTAATTTGGGTTATTTATTAATTCAACAAATATTTTTGTACCCACTTTTGCCAGACACTGTGTTAGGCACTGGCAAATCAACAGTGAATGACCTAGTTACATTGCCTGTCCTCATGGAGCTTGCAAAATGGTCAGGGAAAACAAATAGTTAAGTAAATATCACAGCAAAACTAAATAACAAGGCCTGTGGCAGGCACGTGAAAACAAAGTGCTGAGGGCTATGTGTAAGAGAGGCGCTAACCTGTTTGCTAGATCAAGGAAGACTTTCCCACAAAAATGACATTCATGCTGAGACATAAAGCATGAATAGATGTTAACCAGCTTAGAGAAGGGGGTGAAGGCAGAAGCCACATTTCAGGCAAGAAGAAAAGCATACAGGAAGACCTCAGGTGTTTTTAAAACTATTTTATTTTCTGTCAAAATATTGTATTGTTTAATTTTTATGGATACCTAATGGTTGCACATATTTATGGGGTGCATGTGATGTTTTGATACAAGCATACAATGTGTAATGGCCAAATTTGTGTATTTGGGGTACTATCACCTCAGACATTTATAACTCCTTTATGGTTGGGAACATTCTAAATCTACTCATCTAGTTATTTTGAAATGTACAACAAATTATGTTATTTATTCCAAATTGCATTAATTCGCTTTGCAATAAATTATTGTTAACTGTAGTCACCCCATTGTATTACCAAACACTGCCTCTTATTCCTTCTATCTAACTATATTTTTGCACCCATTAACCTAATCCTCCTCATCCCTGCTCCCCACTACCCTTCACATCCTCTGGTAACCACCATTCCACTATCCACCTTCATGAGATCCATATTTTAGCTCCCACATATGAGTGAGAACATGTTACCTTTGTCTTTATATGACTGGATTATTTCTCTTAACATGTCTTCCGGTTCATCCATGTTGTTGCAAATGACAGGATTTCACTTTTTTTTTAATGGAGGACTAATATTCCATTGTGTATCTATATCACATTTTCTTTATCCATTCATCTGTTGATGGACACTTAGGTTTATTCCAATCTTGGCTTTTCTGAATATCAAAGTTTATACATGGGAGTACAGACATCTCTTTGGTATGCTGATTTCTTTTCTTTTAAATATATACCAAGCAGTGGGATTGCTGGATCATATGGTATTTATTTTTTTAAATCAACTTTTATTTTAGCTTCAGGGGGTACGTGTGCAGGTTTGTTAAATGGGTGAATTGCCTGATGCTGAGATTTGGGGTATTAATGGTCCCATTACCCAGGTACTGAGCATAGAAACCAATAGTTTTTCAAACTTTACCTTCCTCTTTCCCTCCATCATCTAGAAGTCCCCAGTTTCTATTGTTGCTATCTTTATGTCCATGAGTACTCAATGTTTAGCTCTCACTTATCAGTCAAAACATGTAGTGCTTGGTTTTCTGTCCCTGCATTAATTCACTTAGAATAATGGCCTTCAGCTCCATCCATGTCACTGCAAAGGACACGATTTTGTTCTTTTTTACGGCTGTGTAGTATTCCGTGGTGTATATGTATCACATTTTCTTTAGCCAGTCCACCATTGATGGGCACCTAGGTTGATTTCCATGTCTCTGCTATTGTGAATAGTGGTAAAATGAAAATGCAAATGCATATGTCTTTTTGGTAGAATGATTTATTTTCTTTTGGATATATACCCAGGAATGGCATTGCTGGGTCATATGGTAGCTCTGTTTTAAATTCTTTGAGAAATCTTCAAACTGCTTTCCACAGTGGCTCAATTACTTTACATTCCCACTAACAGTGTATAAGCATTCCTTTCGTTCCACAGCCTCACCAACATTTCTTGTTTTCTTGACTTTTTAATAGTAGACATTCTGACTGGTGTTAGATTGTATCTCATTATGGTTTTGATTTGCATTTCTCTGATGATAAGTAATGTGAAGCATTTTTACATATGTTTGTTGGTTACTTGTATGTCTTCTTTTGAGAGTAATCTGTTCATGTCTTTCACTCATTTTTAATGGAGTTGTTTAGCTTTTTGCTTGTTCAGTCGTTTAAGTTCCTTATAGATTCTGAATATTAGACCTTTGTTGGATGCGTAGTTTGCAAATATTTTTGCCTATTCTGTAGTTTGTCTATTCTGTTGTTAGTTTCTTTTGCTGTGCAAAAGCTCTTTAATTAGGTCCTACTTGTCAATTTTTGTGTTTGTTGCAATTGTTTTTCAGAACTTAGTCAATAATTATTTCCCAAGGCCAATGTCCAGGAAGATACTTCCTAGGTTTTCTTCTAGGATTCTTATAGGCTGGGTCCTTACATTAAAATCTTTAATCCATCTTGAGTTAATTTTATGCATGATGAAAAGTAGGGGTATAGTTTCATTCTTCTGCATATGGCTAGCCAGCTATTCCAGCACCATTTATGGAATAAAGAATTCTTTCCCCATTGTGCATTTTTGTCAGCTTTGTCAAAGATGAGATGGCTGTAGGTGTGCAGCTTTATTTCTTGATTCACTATTCTGTTCCATTGGTCTATGTCTGTTTTTGGACCAGTACCATGCTGTTTTGGTTACTGTGGGCTTCTTGTATAGTTTGAAGTCAGGTAATGTGATGCGTCTGGCTTTGTTCTTTGTGCTTAGGATTGCTTTGGCTATTCAGGCTCCTTTTTGGTTTCCTGTGAATTTTAGAATAGCTTTCTCTAGTTCTGTGGAAAATTATGTTGGTAGTTTGATACGAACAGTGTTAAATCTCTAGATTGCTTTGGGCCATATGGTCATTTAATGATATTGATTCTTCCAACCCATGAGCATGGAATGTTTTTCTATCTGTTTATCTGTTTGTTCATTTACGATGTCTTTTAGCAGTGTTTTGTAGTTCTCCTTGTAGAGATCTTTCACCTTCTTTGTTAGATGTATTCCTAGGTAGTGTGTGTGTATGTGTGTGTGTGTGTGTGTGTCTATTGTAAATGGGATTGTGTTCTTGATTTGGCTCTCAGCTTGAACATTATTGGTGCATAGAAATGCTACTGATTTGTGTACATTGATTGTGTATACTGAAACTTTACTGAAGACATTTATCAGTTCTAGTAGCTTTTTGGCAGAGTTTGAGGTGTAGAATCATAGCATCCATGAAGATAGATAGTTTGATTTCTTGCTTTCCTATTTGGATGCCTTTTATTTCTTGCTCTGGCCTCATCACTCTGGTTAGCACTTCCAGTACTATGATGGACAGGAGTAATGAAAGTAGGCACCCCTGTCTTGATTCAGTTCTCCATAGGAATGCTTCCAGTTTTTGCCCATCCAGTATGATGTTGGTATGAGTTTGTCAAAAATTGCTCTTATTATTTGGAGGCATGTTCCTTCAGCGCCTCATTTCTTGAGGGTTTTGGTCATAAAGGGATGTTGGATTTTATCAAAAGCTTTTTCCATGACTATTGAGATGATCATATAGTGTTTTTTTTTAATTCTGTTTATGTGGTGAGTCATATTTATCAATTTGCATATGTTGAACCAAACTTGCATCCCAGGAATGAAGCCTACTTGATTGTTGCGAATTAATTTTTTTTTTTTGCAACAGGGTCTCACTCTGTTTCCTAGGCTGGCGTGCAGTGGTGTGATCACGGCTCACTGTGGCCTCAGCCTCACTGAGTTCAGGTGATCCTCCCACCTCAACTTCCAGAGTAGCCGGGACTACAGGAGCATGCTACCACACCAAGCTAATTTTGTATATTTTTTATGGAGATGGGGTTTCACCATGTTGCCCAGGCGGGTCTTGAACTTCTGGGCTTAAGTGATCTGCCCACCTCAGCTTCCCAAAGTGTTAGGATTAAAAGTGTCGAATTAAATTTTTGATGTACTATTGGGTTCAGTTTGCTAGCATTTTGTTGAGGATTTTTTATCTATGTCCATTAAGGATATTGGTCTGTAGTTTCCTTTTTTCACTGTGCCTTTGCCAGGTTTTGGTATCAGGGTGATGCTGGCCTGATAGAATGAGTTAAGGAGGAGTCCCTCCTCCTTGTTTTCTTGGAATAGTTCCAGTAGAATTGGTTCCAGCTCATGTTTGTACATATGGTGGAATTTGGCTGTGAATCCATCTGGTCCAGGGCTTTTTTTGTTGGTAGCCTTTTTTATTGTTATTGTTAATACTGATTCAATTTTGGAACTCAATATTGACTTGTTGAGGGTTTCAATTTCTTCCTGATTCCATCTCAGAATATTGTTTGTTTCCTGGAATTTATCCATTTCCTCTAGATTTTCTAGTTTGTGTGCATAGATGTGTTTATAATAGTCTCTGAGGATACTTTATATTTCTGTGGGATTGATTGCAATGTTACCTTTGTCATTTCTGATTGTGCTTATTTGGAGCTTCTTTTTTGTTTGTTTGTTTGTTTGTTTATCTAGCTAGAAGTCTACTGATCTTGTTTTTCCTTTCGAAAAACAACTTTTGGTTTCATTGATTCTTTGTATGGATTTTGGGGTCTCAATTTGGTTCAGTTCTGCTCTGATTTTAGTTATTAGTTTCCTTTGCTAGCTTTGGGGCTAGTTTATTCTTGTTTTTCTAGTTCCTCTATGTGTGATGTTAGATTGTTAATTTCAGATCTTTCTAACTTTTTTAGATAAATGTTTAATGCAATAACCTTTCCTCACAACACTGCTTTTGCTGCAGTCCAGAGATTTTGGTATGTTGTGTTTCTGTTTTGATTTATTTCCAACAATTTTTGGACTTCTGCTTTAATTTCATAGTTTACCCAAATTCAGGAGCAAGTTGTTTCATTTTCATACATTATGTGGTTTTGAGAGATCATCTTGGTATTGATTTCTATTTTTATTCCACTATGATCTGAGAATATTGTTGGTATGACTTCAAGTTTTTAAAATTTATTGAGACTTCTTTTATGGCCAAGCCTGTGGTCCATTTTGTAGTTTGTTCTGCGTGCACATGAAAAGAATGTGCATTCTCTGGTTGATTTGTGGAGTATTCTGTAGATATCAATTAGGTCCAGTTGGTCAAGTGTCAAGTTGAAGTCCAGAATTTCTGTGTTAGTTTTCTGCTACAATGCTTTCTATCTATGCTGACAGTGAGGTGTTCAAGTTCCTCGCTGTTATTGTGTGTCTGTTTAGGTGTTTTCATAGGTCTAGAAGTACTTGTTTTGTGAACCTGGGTGCTCCAATATTGGGTGTGTATGTATTTAGAATAGTTACGTTTTTGTTGAATTGAATTCTTTTTCATTGTTTAATGCCCTTCTTTAATATTTTTTTTTTACTGTGTTGGTTTAAAGTCTGTTTTATCTGACATAAGAATAGTGATCCCTGCTCCTTTTTGTTTTCCATTTGCATAGTAGATCTTTATCCAACTTTTTACTTTGAGGCTTTACTTGTAAGGTGGGTCTCTAAAAGAGAGCAGTTGAATGGGTCTTGCTTTTTCATCTAACTTGTCACTCTGTGTCTTTTAAGTAAGGCATTTAGACCATTTACATCAAGGTTAATAGTGATCTGTTAACCACAATAGGATAGGTTTTGAAGTTGTTACCTGATAGCTTTGTAGTTTCTATTGTGTGGTTGCTTTATAGGGTGTGTGGGCTATGTACTTAAGTGTGTTTTTGTGGTAGCAGACATTGTTCTTTTGTTTCCATGTTTAGGACTCCCTTCAGTATTTCTTGTAAGACTAGACTACTGGTAACAAATTATGGTAGTGCTTGATTGCCTGGAAGAGTTTATTTCTCCTTTGCTTATGAAGCTTAGTTTGGTGGGATATGTCATTTTTAGTTGGAATTTCTTTCCTTAAAAAATGCTGGAAATAGGCCCCCAGTCTCTCCAGGCTTGTAAGGTTGCTGCTGAGAAGTCCACTGTTAACCTGACAGGGTTCCCTTTGTATGTGATCTGACCTTTTTCTCTAGTTGCCTTTAAGATTTTTTCGTTAGCATTGACCTTGGACAGTCTGGTGATTATATGCCTTGGTGATATTCATTTTGTATAGTATCTAACAGGTATTCTCTGCGTTTCTCGTATCTGGATGTCTACTTCTCTAACAAGATTAGGGAAGTTTTCTTGAATTATTCTCTCAAATATGTTTTCCAGGTTGTTTGCTTTTTCTCCTTCTCTCTTAAGAATGCCAATAATTTGTAGGTTTGGTTGCTTTACATAATCCCATATTTCATAAAGACTGCTCATTTTTTAAAATTCTTTTTTCTTTGTTTTTGTCCTACTGGGTTTGTTTGAAAGATTGGTCTTCAAGCTCTGAAATTCTTTCTTTCTGCTTGGTCCAATCTATTGATAAAGCTTCCAACTGTATTTTGGAATTCCTTAAGTGAGCTTTTCAATTCCAGAAGCTCTAATTAATTTCCTTTTAAAGATGTTTATTTGTTTCTTCATTTCTTAGATTACTTTAGAAGTTTCTTTGTGTTTATTTTCAACCTTATCTTGGATCTTGTTGAGCTTCCTCACAATTCATGTTTTGAATTCTTTGTCTGTCATTGCTGAGTTTCAATTTTGGTTCGTGACCACTGGAGAACTAGTATGATCTTTTGGTGGTGTCACTACATTCAGATTTTTCATGGTGCCAGAATTTTTACTCTGGTTCCTCCTCATTTGGAGATGCTGGCACTTCTAACTTTTGTAATTATTTTCTTGCAGGTAGGATTTTTTTCTTTTTCTCTCAATCAATACCTATAAGCTAGGATTAAAGTTCAGTAAGAACAATTAATAACCAATCATGTGTCCATCTTTGTAGCTAAACTTCAGAGTTTCTTTCTTAAAAGACAGATACTCAGAGACAAAGGGAATTCAGAGGGTTTAAACAAAATACTTTTTCACCAAACTACAGAGTTTATTCTAACCACTCAACCAAGTGAGAAATGAATCGGTTCATTTGGCAAATGGGTTAAAAAAGCATTCCAGGTTCTCCAACTGAGGGCATGTAACTGTTTCTGTTTTTCCACTTTCAGGCAAGAAGAAATGATAGATAAATTGGTCTATAGTCAAGTAAATTGCCACTGTAGAGACAAGAGATACAACTTGTAACACAGCTGGCCTGGACTGACAGAAGATTCAGTAACAATATAAAATAGCAGGAATGATGGAGCTGTAACTTTGTGTGATTCCTCAACATCTACCTGGAATAATCAACCATCTTCAGGATTGCAAGCCCCACCACTCCTGTGTTGCTTTATAATCAAAATGACACACTTGGGCAGTTTCTCCAACTGCCTGATAAATTCAGTTTTCAAATACTAAGGTACTATATGGCATGGTGACTTTACCATTACTCCAGGGTGGGAAGTGACTTTCCACTGTTTGCGGATTACCAAAGGGAATAAAGCATATTTGACAGTCCCATCTTCATAAAGTCATTTACTTCTCATCTTCTCAAACTTCTCTCTCTACTAGTAGCATCAACAGCTTTTGGGTAGGATGTGTCATGGAGATCCCAACTGAGCAACTGATCTCCACTGATCCCAAAACATCAAATTATAGAGTAAAATGTGACATGAATAGTTATTTGCAGTCCCTTCCTCTTTGCTATCTGTTGCAACTCAGCCCTGACCACTTATCAGACTGAGCGTATGCAATAACCATTGCATCTAAACACCTTTGTCTTAATTCCAAGCACTGCTTATTGCAAAGCCTTCTCTCTGCCAAAATAAAGACTGCTCCCAACTTCTTTCGGCAAAGATCACATGCTGCTGTACTGCATTTTCAGGGTCTGCATCCCATCTGCTATCTGGCAGAAAAAGATCCTTCAAAATGTGTGACATAATCTAGGGGAACGTCCAACTGTTATCCTGGATAAATTTAATGGCAATTGTAAGTGATGTGTTTAACACCCAGTCTTCCCAGTTCTATTAATGTTCTAGTCTATTCACCTTCATCTCCACTTTATTTCTGCTATAGAGATTTGTATGTTATAATTACTGTAACTGATGTACAGTCAAAAATCTTAAACGATATTCCACACTCTCATCACATTATCCTAGCCTGCCTTAGAACTTCCTGTTCTCTCATATACTTGCTTTTGACCACACTGCAATCTTCAACTCCTTGAACCTCCATTTCTTTTCAATTTACCTTTCTACTCCAGTCCTTATTTCCTTTCTTACCATTTCAACTTTGTTGACCCATGTCCTCTGTCACACTTCCAATAAAACATCAACCATAGGTGGCACCAAATACCTACTTTCTCTCTTCCAAACTCTGGGCTGATGATTGAAAAATCACACACACACACACACACACACACACACACACACACACACACACGACATGGGTGCATTGTAAATTCATAATATCTTAACAAGTGATTCTGCAAGATTAAGTAATATTGAAGATACCCCCACCTAGAAATTCTACCAATACCATTGAAGAACTTCATGGAGAAGAAGACTTGTACAAGGGAATTCAGTAAAGGTGTGTTTTTGTAATAGAAGAAAGGAAGACATAAATCAATTGCCAGTTAGGGACATGGATTAATATTCTCTGTTATATTCAAACAATGACTTAGCCAGCCCTCTGATCCCAGCACCCTCCACCACTCTAACTTCTTCCCTCCCAGAGAAAATAAATCAAGAACTTTCTCAACTGCTTACCCCATTCACACACCTATAAACTTACGTGCACCTTCACCTCTCCTCATTTGCATCTTTCCTAACTTAGTAGAAGGGTTTCTTCCTTCAGTTCTCTGTATTCCATCCCTGCCCCCAACAAATTCTTAGTGATCTCCTTTCATTGGATATCCCTTGTCTCAATTTTGTCTTCATTAGCTCCATTTAAGTCCTTCATTCAACACAAAAATACTGAACGCCAAGCATGTCCCTGCCCTCTGTTAACTGCTAAAGATGCTACTAAGCACAATACAGATGTGGCCACTGCTGTCATAGAACTTAGGCAATACCTATTGCTCCCTGGTAGTACTTCCCTTTCAACCTATATGAATGCTAAGGCCTTTCCCTTTCTCTCTTTCTTATAATTAAACTTCTCAAAATATGTCTGTATTCACTGTTTTCACTTGCTCTCCTCTTTAACCTACTGCCCTCTGACTTCTAAAATCTCTCTAGCCAATATTATGTATAAATTTCCCATTTAATGCAATGAACACTTTTTATTTCTTCTCTTGACTTCTCTTGAATGATTGACACTCCAAACTTTCTTGAAATTTTTTTCTTACTATCAGTGGCATTATAATTTTCTGGATTTCTTCTAACAACTATAGCCACTCCTCTTGCCCTACTCAGCCCAAAACGTGGTATTTATCAAGATTACCATCTCAGGTGTTTTAGCACACTCCACAGTTTCCTTAAAAGACTCATTCATTCCCATCCCATAAACTCTAGAAACCTCTATATTACAATGACTCTTAATCCCTGGCTTCGGTATAAATCTCACCCCTGAATTCCTTTCTTATACCTCATAGTGCGAACTGAACATCCTCATCTGGGCAGGTGCCTCAAACCAACACTTGCAGGATAGGATAATAACTCTCCCACTAATAAGAATTATAACAACTGATAAAATACCAAGAAAAAGGTTACTATAAAATATCTAAGACCAAACCAAGGCAGCCAATATTTGAGCCAAGGGAAGCATATTGATGTGAGGCCTATGTTCACAGCAGTTTTCACCCTCAGGGCATTTGTCAATCACAGGGCAAGATGAAAAGGCCAAAGAGAAACAGCAGTATACAGTTGAAATTCAATGGTACAAAGACAGTCAGGACTTGAAAGATCAAAACTCCAGAGAAAGGGAACCATAGAGAAGCATGACCAGTAGTCTGTTTAAAATGTAAAACATGCAAGCTGAATCTCTGATAGATCAAGCAGAAAGCATCAATAAAAGGCTAAAAAGCTGAGCACAGTGTTGTTACACTCTTACTGTGTTAGGGACACAAAAACTGGAGTTTAGGGCTCACCAAAGAAGTGTCCAGTCTTTTTTGAGATCTCTTGAAGGTCTATCCTATAGAACTAAGGGCAAACTGGAAACAGTTCAGCTCAACCAGATCAAAGTTATTTTCTCTTATTCGACCATTCTACCAAAAGAAATTTAAATCTTCTGTGAAAGAAAATAACATTATCCAAAGCCTCTATATCTTGTCACTTACAGGGTACACCATTCTATAAAAAATTCCAATGAGGAAATAAAACAGGGCCTCATGACTGAAACCAAGAGAAAAAGCAAGGAATAAAAGTACATTGAGAGGTAATACAAATATCAAAGTTATATAAAACAGACATTAAAATAATTATTAGCAGTATTTCTAGGAAAAAATAAATAAATGGAGTGTGTTATCAGAGTACTGAAATCTACAATAAAAGTATCAAATGGAACTTGTAGAACTGAAAAATATAATTAAAAAGAAGAACTCAAAGATAATTTCTATAGAATAGATACACCAAAAGAGAGGACTAGTACATTGGTCAGGTTAAAAAATCAAGACTGATACTCAGAAGAAAAGGATTAAAATACCAAAAAAAAAGTAAGAAACATATAGAACATAAGTAATATACATGTAATTGGAGTCTCAAAAGGAGAAGAGACAGAGAATAAAGAAAAAGCAATATTGTAGCTATAACTAGGTAAGAATTTACCCACGGATTCAAAAAAGTTTATGAACCCATATAGGGTAAATACAAACAGAACTATATGTGGGCAACCAAAGACAAAGAGAAATTTTAAAGGAGGCCAGAGAAAAGAAGATATTATTTTTAGAGAAGCTATCAAAAAGACTGAAAGCTGAGTTTTAAACAAAAATAATAAAAGTCAAAGCTGAAAGAAAAATGACTGCCAACATGGATTTTTTTTTACTGGTGCAAATAATCTTCTAGAAAGAAGGTAAAATAAAAATGATTTCAGGCAAACAAAACCTAAGAGAATTCATAGTCAGCAAATCTAAACTAAAAGAAATACCAAATTAAGTTCTTTTGGCAAAATAAAAATTATTTCAGATGGAAGTATGGTAATGCAAGAAGGGATGAGAAGCACTGGAAAATGGTAAACATGCTGCTGATACTAAATAAAACTTGATCACTTGGTTGTTTAAAGTGGTAACACTAATGTATTGTGAGTTTTATAACAAATGTAGAGGTTAAATATATGACAGTAATTTTACGTAGGACAGGTAGTAGTTGAAATTGAAGTGTTTAAGGTCCTTGCATTATATAGAAAATCAGAGCCTGATTAGAACTTAATTTAAGGCAGGGTTTCATAAGATACAGATGCTTGTTATAATAGATTAACCGTTAAGCAATGTTTTGCTAACAAACTAAAATACAGAAAAAATGAAGCAATAAAAACAATTAAGTAAATGCAAAACAAAGAGATAGGGAAAAGTACAAGTGAGACAAACAGAAAGTGTTTATAAAATTAAAAGATTTAAGCCAAAATACCTCAGAAATTATATTAAATGTAAATAGAATAAATATCTCTTCTAAAAGACAAGGATTGTCAGACTAGATTGTATCATATACATATATAACTAGATTGTATTATATAAATATTTGTTGACTAGATTGTACCATACAAATATACTGTGAAACTTTTTGTATCATTATGTTTAAGGTATAAATAACTCTTGTAAGTATCATATATGTATTATGTGGTGCAAAAGTAATTGTGGTTTTTGCCATCATGTCGCATGGCAAAACCGCAATTATTTTTGCACCAACTTAATATGTCGATATAGATATATACATAGACGCATATAGTATGTGGATGTAAGTATTTTTTTATATATATATGAATTTGCAGGTCAAAAATATTCAGAAAAAAATGTTTTTAAGGTACAAATTTAAAAAAGCAATACAGTACGACTATTTACATAGCATTTACATTGTGTTTGGTATTATAGGTAATCTAGAAATGATTTAAAATATACAGGAGGATATATGTAGGTTAGGTACAAATACTATGCCATTTTATGCAAGGGACTTGAGCATCTGCAGGTTTTGGTGTGGGAGGTGGTGGTCCTGGTACTGGGGTGGGAGTTCCAGAACCAATCCTCGGTGGATACTATGGGACAACTCTACCTCCTTCAAATTTTATGCTGTTCAAGTAGCACCTCCTCTATGAATTCCTCCTGGACTGCTTACTTCCTGTTGCTACCCCAAGATAGGTGATCCTTTTCTGTGAATTTAAATTTGCTTCTGATCTAGTCCTGCTCAAAATGCGTGTAATTATCCCTTTACTCATCTGATTCTCCAAACAAACTGAGGAATCAAGAGCATGAGTAGTGCCCTTTACTTCAGATACCAATAGATCACACAAAGTCAGCACAAAGTAGGCCTTCAATAAATAAATGAAAAAAAAAAAAGACTCATCTTTGTTGTACAACCATGCCTCAGTTAGTTATCTATGGCTTCTTTCTTGAATCTAAAGAGGTCACACAATTTTATTTATTTATTTTTGGTAAATTTAAAACCTACCTAGAGAGAATAAAAATATTAAATAATTAAGATCTTTTTCAGAATTTTACTGTTTTGCTCGTCGAATCCTAACATTATATAAACTTACCAAAAAATGGAAATTCAAACTCTCAAAAATAGATTAAATTCCATATCTACAGAAATTAAGGCAGGGGCTCTGGACTCAGACTGCTTGGGTTCTAAATCCCAGCACCCCCCATTCACTAGCTGTGAAACAGTGACCAAATTACTTAACCTCTCTGTGCCTCAGTTTCTTCATCTGTAAAATTAGATCAGTGTCTTTGTCTCACACAGTTGCTGTAAGGATTAAATGAGGTGATAAATGTAACACACCACACATAGTGCATGTGCCTGTTTGATTACTATCTAGTGGTAGTAATAGCAATAGCATCAGCAGCAGTAATCTAGATTTAAAAAATGTCTATTTACTGTATGAAAATATTCTCAGTAAATTGTAAAGAGAGTTGTGGCCATAAGGCAAAAACAAAAAAAATTATTCTATGATGCATTATTCCTTGAAAAGTCTTCAACCAAACTGTCAGTACTTTCAAAGTATAACTTAGGAAGATATTCATGTGAAAAGTATTGAATTATTGTCACAGGAATTATGCAAAGCAAGTTACAGGTGTTTCAAAAATACTACCTTTTGTTTAAAATAAAGATGAAGGTAAATCAACACCATATGTTTTTCACTATCAGGTTTTTAAACATTTAAGTCAGTAAGTTCCTTCCTCAATAGTATAATAGTATAGTCTTTGAAAATATAAAAACCCATTATTGATTTAAAATTAAAACAATGCTGGTAATACTGCTCCAAGAATCTGACTCTTTTTTAAGAATAAAAATCATTATTTTACCTTCAAAATTGATTTGCATGGTGCTTGATTAAAATGATTTGCAAATTAAGTAACTTTCTATTCCCTGAACCATAAAAAACTTTCCTTCCTCTGAACTTAGTACTAAGATTTGTTCCTCTCTGTCCAATAAAATTTTCAGAGATTCAGTACTCTTACTGCCATTTCCAACAATCAGAGAGCTAGACTTCTTTTAAGATTGGAATAAATAATAGTTTTTTAAAATCTTGGTGATACGGCACTTAAATGGCCTTCAACTTTCACTTTTGGGGAAAATATTTTTGCATTTCTGATAGTAATGATTAGATGCATAAATAACACAGTGACATATGGTTCTGAAGAGAGCAGAAAGACTATGTATAATTTTCCATTAAAATGTGTTGGAAAATAAACCTGAAATAAAATTTGATATGTTCATCATTATTTTACAAAGGCTTTTTATGACAACAATAACAAAATATTGTATACAAGATATATATGTATATATGTATATATGTGTATGTGTATATATATACATATGTGTATTTATATATATACATATATGTGTATATATGTACATATGTGTGTATATATATGTGTGTGTATTTATATATATATACATGTATATATATATACACATATATATGTATATATGTATATATATATATATATACATATATATATATATATATATCCTGGAAGTCCTCATGACATCTATAAGCTTAAAACCAATCTTTTGCCTTAAAAATCCAAGTAACAATTTTACTACATCCTTATCTTTATGACATGAAATTTTTCCATTAATTATTTTCTGCATTCTGATACAGAAATAAGTTTAAATAATAATTTTATTTTTAATTGTTAATGCAGATTTAATATGAAAATGTCTTATTATTTACACATTTTAATACTGCTTCAATGGAATGCCAGAAAAAGTTCTTAAAAATAGGAATATTCAACACATAAATTGTTTTAACTAAAACTCTCCTGACAATGTTTTAAATGATTATGTAATTAAGCTGACTGTTTTGACATATTTTAGACACAAGCTAGAACTGTATAATTCTGTCCCATTTGCCAGAAGCAGAATATATCTTGAAAGTAAAAAAAAAACTTACTTTCAATAAATAAATATTATCTTTGAAAGTTGACATTTTGATACCAAAAAAGGCCATATTTCTGTGTATGGCAAAATTAAACAATATTCTTTCCAAGTACTAAAAGTATAACTATGAAATGAAGAAGGCAAGAAACAATAATATACATCATTATGTCCAAATTGATTTTTATAACCGAAAGACACTTTGATGCCTACTGCAGACTTATCATATTGCATGCAAAGTCAGATCAGAATAAGTCAAGCAAACAAAAAATTCCAAATGAAACCATGTCAATAGAGAAAATCCTATCTCCTAAAAGAACACCGAATACAGGCAATCCCTATAGGCTTTTATATGACATCCCACTTCCACCTGGCAGTGAGTTTCCTAACCAGTGAGTGGCAACTCAGCAATGTCACAAAAATTCTCAATAGCAATTTTTTCATTAAAATGTCAATGGAAAAGACAAAAACTCTAACTCAAGCAAACTTCTGAACGTGAAAATATCCAGATATGAAACTTTATAGCAAGAAGTGACTCAAAATCAACAAAATTAATTTAAAAGATATTTTTGACCATATGTAATCGCTCTTTGGCCTGTTCCTAAAAGCAAAGTAACAAAGCTGCTTAATTTTAATATTTGTTTTGTTTAAATTCTTTTAAGTATAAAAAGTTTATTAACCAAAAATAATTCACACAGGAAAGTATAAAGGAAACAGAAATAGCACACAATTCAATCTAGCAGATTTATCTTCATCATTGGCTTTAAAAACAAAAGTAGAACACACATAAAAAATTCCAACTGTTCAGAAGGGCATAAAATGAAAAGTAAAAATCGTCCTCTTCCTCTCACCACTATTCATCTTAGTCTTTTCTAAAATTGTCTTAAAATTTTTAATATATTCATCCAGAAACCCATGTTTATATTTGTGCCCACATTTACATGTACTCACCTACCCTTGCACAAGCATTTTTCTGTTCTTCCACTTAAAAACATAATGCAGAAACTATACAATTCTAACGTTAGAATTCTGTTATAAAAAATGGAAACATTATTTTTATGATTGCCTCATTACATTTTGTAATAAGCATTATTTTGAAATAAATCCACCAATTGCATGTGGCTTGTTTCAAGTCCCTGTAACTAATTCAAATGACTTATAAAGACATCGAAATATCCACAGATATGACATCCAAATATCTACAAAAAGTGAAGGAGAGTTCTTCAGATAATTCTATGTAGGCCCCATGAAAAATGGAATGAATAAAATTGCAAAAGCCCTTAAAAAAGAGACAATTCAGATAAAATCAAAGCTAATTATAAGACTTAAAATTTGTTTTATAAACTACTATTTAAAGCAATCTAAAAAAACCTACCTTCATTTACCACTGCTAAGACTGAATATAGAAAGATATAGAAATTAGGTAAGAGATATAAATTTTTAAAAAATTGATAGTCTAACATTCACATCCATTTTGTATCATAATTACATGAAAATAAATAAAACTCTCTTCCCAAAAAGTTTTATTTGAATTTTCAAAAAACAACTGAAGTTAGATTGATGTCTCAATTTTATACTTGGTTTTGAAATCTCTTCAAATTGAAATTTTAACATCTGCCTACTTTATCTGAACATATTTTAAATATTTTTAATTAAAATAATTCATAATTCTGTTTATTTTTAATTCTTCAAAAACATCCTAATTCTGTTTATTTTCATGAATAAAAATCTATTTCTTTATTTCAACATATTCTAACCCCAAATCAAAATTTTATCTATCAAAAATTACATTTTAGCTTAGAGATATAAATCTTATGATTCCCACTTTAATTCTTCTACAACACAATCTACCTCATAGGAGAAAAAATATTCTCTAACTAAATCTGCAAATTTTTTATTATTAAATCAGAGTTGCTGATCAAGGCATCTTAGACCTCTGTCTCAAATTTTGTCAATACCAATAACCTGACTTATGATGGAGTAAAAGTCAAACTTCTAAGTTGGCACTCATATTAAGAAATGCTTGAGGGGGGGAAGTTAATTTAAATTAATATTCTAATAGGTGAGGCTACCTCTGCCAGAGAAGAATATACCTCTTCAGTTGAAAGAGATTCCTGAAATTTACAATAAAGAGACTTCATCGAAAATAAAAACACTGCATAGCAGAGTAGTTTTAGGAAGCAGATTACGTGCATTTGATCTGCATAGTTCAGAAAGAGATTTTGAAATATCTTTCATGATTAGGAACGACTTGCCCTTACTGCTTGAATACAAGTGCATTTGAAAGTCAACATTTGCTTTTAAATGTGCTTATCTTTTTCTCTCCCTTGCCTGTCTCTCTGGAAGCCAGATCCAGCAGCTCCCTCTTATCCCTGCAACCACTGCTGTCCAGGACCACAATGAGGAAGGAAACTACAATAGGTCAAATTATTCTACCAACTCGACTCCCCTAGACCCATTCACCATTATGAGTCCTGACAACTTCTTATGACTAATATCATCATTTGTAGTCAATGAAATTGATTATTTCATCACCTTCAAAGCTCTACAAAAAGAAGACCAAGAGATGTATGGGCAGTTGGAGGTGATTTGTCTTTTACAATTTACAGAAGTGATAAAGAAATTTAGCAGAAAAAAGAAACAATTTAACAGTAAGTTATGAGGTTTCTGTCATAGAGCAAATTGAATCACTGTGTGTTTACAACAAATCCCATACTAGTTCTGCCTAATTACATGACAAAATATTTCCAATTTCGACTCAACCTCAGACAAATTCCCTGGTGTATCTTTACTGGCTGCATTCTTGAGCAACTTAGAGACTATTTGCTCTGTATTTGCAATGAACCATATGTTTTGGGTGATTTGTCATCATAGCTTAAAACATCAATATCCTTCTCTTCTCTTGAGTAGAATTGTGAGTTGAGAGAAAATCTCTAACATCAAAAAAGCAGTATTGTTTACTAAATCTGAATGTCTCTGTCAATTAAGAATAAAACACAGTGACCAAAAAAGAAAAACTTTTCCCACTTGTACATCCATTTCCCCCTCTCACCTGTTTCCTCTTTGGGAAACTCTTCTCTCAGGTTTAGATTTGTTCTAGAAAATCAGCCCTTAGCTTCATTCCTTTGCCTTTTCTCCTTTTTTGCCCTGAGTGAAAAATTCTTCTGGAAAACGACATTTTATGCATGAATTGATAGCTGAAGCTTTTAATTCTAACATTTCAATACATGGACTAAGGGAGATTATATATGTGTCTTGTGTTTCATGGACTTAGGGTTGTGATAATTTAGGTCTAGATTGCTGATAATATTGGGGCATTATACAATATATAGTCTGACAGTGGCCATAAAATGGACATTTGTTACTGCACTGTGCTTCGTGTTGCTTAACGGTGTCCACAAATATTTGCAAAACATAAAGAATATTGATATTTTAATGATGCAGTAGGATTACATCAAATAAAAAGCACTTTAGCTATAGCTGTGTGACAGCAAAATTTACTGCACAACAATGGCAACAGAATTTAAATGAAAAGTTCTATGGAAAAGAATAAACTGCTTTTTCTAGGCTTATACGTGTGTGTGTTTTTATTGGTGTGCTAAATTGATTCTATGCAGTAAATGGCATCATTGCTTTTACATAGCATTTTGATAATTTCCAGATGGCTCGTGTTTTCATTTTGCATTGGAACATGGAATCATTTTCCAAAGTTTTAAAATGTGACATAGTTGTGAGTCTAAACCTACATAAACACCATGACTATGTGAAAACCTTTTTTCCATATAAATGTAACATTTACAGACATATTCTCTATTAACTGTACAAAATCACTTTATGCCTAAAACTAACTTATTGTTGGTGATGGTGATGACCTTAATGAAGATAGTCATTGATGAGCAAACTATTTTGCCTTCTACCTGTTCACTAATATTCCTTCAACCAAAGCTAAAACTTCAGTGTTTCTTTGCTTCGTTTTTCTCTTTCCCTTCAGAATCATCAGTCTCAAAGGAATGTTGCCAAGGTGTCTGATTTCCCAGAAGCCCACTTCCACAGCCCATCATTTGATATTAAACCGCAGTGTTTCTTCTGCCCACCCTGTTGGTGGTGATCCCATTTCAGCTCAGTGCATAGCCTGCATTGCCACCCATTCTCCGCATGTCTACCCCCAAAGATCTTGTGTTGCAGACAGCTTTGCCACAGGATAGGCAGTCTGGCTGAGATCCAGAAGCACATTGTGGGTGATCCTGCTTTGTGTTTCATGTTAAGTACGGCTGGTAGACGATGCTGAGGGAATGGCTCAAGACGCCAGATGTGACATCTAGTGAAGGTTGGATACGATCGTCATGCCAGAGAATTTCCATTTGGTGTGGAACTGGATGCCATGTTGGTTTCTCGCAGTCTTCTGTTTTGCAGAGGCTCATTGCCAATGTTCTCGATGTGATTATCTTTGCTGAGGAAACTGAATTAATCCGGGTAGCAAAATTCATACTGTCTCTAATATGCAAATTAATATCATTTGTTCCATATCTGCATTTTAAGTCATAAAAAACATGTTTCCAACAAACCAAAAACATTCCTTCAACTAATATTGCTTTATGCTGAGACCTGTGCTCAGCATAAGGATAAAGTGGAGAGTAGGACAACCTGTAGACTTACCACTAAATTGGGTCTGTATTTTTTCCCTTCTTCAATGAATTGCTTTGGCATTATAAACCTGATTCCAGAACAGTCTTTAATTGTGCTATTGATGGAAATGCCACCGTTTTGGATATATGCCAGTATTATGCTATAACCTTAGACTGACTAAAAATACTGTGCAGCTAATTAATTAAACCATATCTCTTCCTGTTTAGAGTGTGGTTTGTTGCAATACCTAAATGTAGTCTTGTAAATATTCAAACTGAAAGTCTCTCACAGAACAAAATATTTTACTTTCTAATTCACCGCTTCCCATGCCACCTACAAAACATAGATGTTCATACACATATGCATACATATACACAAATCTACTTTCTTCCCTAGAAGTAACCTCAATTGGTCATTTGGTTTGTGTCTTGTGTTTACATATATATATGTTCATATCACAATTATATTTCATGACTTTTTTGTATACATGCGAATACTACTATTGTTTCATGCATTGTTCACTTAAAAATGTGTCTTAGAAATCTTGCCAAGTAAATGTGTGTTAAGTCTACCACTTTCTTTTCAACCACTGAATAATATTCTTTACTACAGATGGACAATATTGGATGTAACCCAGGCCTCCACTGATGTATCATGGTACTATTTCTCATTTAGAAGGAATAATACTTTATTGCCAATTTTTTTTTCTATTTAAAGGAATTTCTGTGGAAAAGCTACACCATACATATGATCTCCATTTTCAATATGCTATTCTTTTTCATTTGTAGTGTTTGAAATGTATCAAAGCTCCATAAGAGAATTCTGGGTCTAATTCTCTCTGGAGTCTTCTCTGAAGTACTCATTGCTTGAAGGCATAAGTTTCAAGTTATATATTTGGTGGCAACAGTAATCTCCAAAGTACTTCACGCTTTGCATTTTTTAAGATAATTATTTAGTTTATAGCATTACATGCCCAGCACTGAAATTTAAAAACTGTACTTTGGAGCTATAAACCAAGTGACCTGTAAATCTTTATTTAGATGACTTGGAGAAGGTCATGTCTCATAAAATCTGAGAATATTAGTACAATTTGTTATTCACTTGATTGAATTTTGAAAATCTAGTCTCAATAGGAATAGAGGATGGATCAAGATTAAATCTGTGTGCTTTGATTATAACCTTCAGAGACAAGACATAAAATTTGTCCCTTCAAATTCCTTTTTGGTGAAGATATCAACAAATATCAATGGAAAATAATATATTTGTGGATTGTGATAATGATGTGGTCCAAATAACTCAGAGCAGCAATTTCATCCACACTTCCAGTTACTAGTTGAATTTTGTCCCCTAACAGAGATGATAAGTTGCTCAAAATCACTATTTTTTTGAAATCTCTCTCAGGTTGTAAGCTTTCTGACATTCTATTAATACAAAGTATGTCAGCACACACATACGTGCTGATGCCATTTCAAAGAATGGGCATATTACTGGTTTTTGAGAATTTCTAAGTTGAATATTGTCATTTTTATTATCTCATGCCTCTTTTTAAAGGATCACCTAATTGAATTTAAGTTCTCCACATATCTCTACACATTTAACCAAGTTCTGCATAAATCAGTATGCTTAATTTCGATAGTATACAGGATTGCTTTTGCAAAGATTTTAGACTAAAGAATAAGCCCCTGACTGTCTATGAAGCACATTAGAGGCCAAGAGCTTTGGGCATAATTATTGCTGACTCAGGAGTATTGGCTTTTTCCTTAACCCCTGCTCAGGTTAACCAATATTCTGGCTTTGTCCTTTCTACTCTCACAGACCTAATCCAAATGTTATCCCAGCACACCAAATTCTTAGCAGAAACTGAAGGGGAGCTCATTGTCCAACAATGGTAAATATTCAATTCCATCCCCTTTGTTCCTGGGTTTAGGAGGTGAAAGAGTGAGTCAACCGGAGAAGCAGAATTTTATATTTATTAATGCAACCTCTATCAGCACGGTGAGAAAAGTAATCATTCAGCCTCGGGAATGTTTGCCTGCTTCTACAGGCTAAATGCTGGCACTCTGCCTGTCTCAGCCTTTCTCAAGCAGCTCACAATACTGCTGCTGCCTCTGTGGCCCCATCAAAGGATGTCTAGGGGTCTGTTCATTTCAAACAAATCAAACTATCCATACTTCATGCTATCATCTCATGTGATAAAGTCTAATGTCTTCAGTTCCTCTGTAACACATAATTTTTCTTTGGCTTCTTCAATTTTCCATTATTTTCACTACAATAGTAGATATTAAATTTTATGGCCTATTTTTACCCAAAACCTGTATGAAAAGAGTGTATCAAAACTAACGGCCAACTAAAATGAGATACCAGTTCACACCCCTAGAATACTTAAAATTAAAAAGACTGACAATACCAAGTGTTGGCAAAGATGTGGAGCCATTGGAACTCTCATCCATGACTGGTAGAAATGTAAATTGGTTAAGCTACTTTGAAAAATAATTTGACAGTTTTCTACAAAGTTAAGTATGTACTTTTCATATGATCCAACAGTCCTCCTCCTTGGTATTTACTCCCTAGAAATGAAAACATATGCCTACAACAAAAACTATGTCAAAATATATAGATCAACTTTATTCAGAATAACCCAAAGCTAGACTCGCTCCACTGTTCAACAGCAGGTGAGCTGATGAATAAGCAAATTATGGTATATCCTACAATAGAATCCTACTTGGTAATATGTAGAAGCAAACTACTGATACACACAACATGAGTAAATCTCAAAAATATTTTGCTGGACAAAATAAGACAGACACAAAAAAGTACAGATTGTATGATTCCATTTACATGAAATTCTGGTAAAACTGGAAAAACTAATTTACAGAAAGCAGATCAGTTTTTGCATGGGGCCAGGGTAGGGAGTGTATTGACTGCTAAGGAATACAGGAAAATCTAGGGGAGCAATGGAAATGTTTCATAGCTTGATTGTGGTGTAGTTACACGGATATATGTAATTGTCAGGCTTAACGGAATTGTATATGAGTACATTTTATTGGATATATTATACCTCAGTAAAGCCGATTTTAAAAAAATTAAATGGCCAGACATTAAGAAAGAGAATTCCTAAATCTGTCAAGATGAGCCTGAAATGAATAAACAAAGAGCAATTCACACTGCTATAAGGAGTATACTTTAGCAAAATTTGGGGGAAACAATTAGGTTCAGAGATGTTTATATCTTCAAGCCAGTAATCCCACTTCTAGAAACACATCTTAAGAACATTATGGGATCATTAGAAAAGGACGTATGTAGGAAAATGTTAACTTTGGTAGCAAAAATAAGCATTATTTACAGTAGCAGGAGTAAAAATTTACAAAGGAATCATCCCAATGCCCAACAATAGGAAAATGATTATGAAAATTTTAACACAACTCAATAAAAGATTATTCAATGATTAAAAACATTGAAGATCAGGTAGCAGTGTGAAAAATGACCATCATATAATGTTAAAGAATACAAAATTGTGTCTATGCAATACATATCTCAGATATTTTGTTCACATATGACACGAATTGAAGGGAAACATGGAAAAATAAATAGTTATATTTGTAGAGGTAGAAAGAGAAGCCGTTTACTTTCTTCTGTTAATGTTATCATGTTATTCTTAGAACAAATAATGAATAATTGTTAGATGACCCAGAAGTGCATTTTTTGTGTCCTAACATGATTGCAAGCTACTCTATGGGCTGCATGCTGCTCTGACACCTGGGAAAGGGACAAATCAATGTACCCAGTGGAGTGGAGGGGACAGTATTCATCTGTAAACGAGAATGAACATAAGCCATGCTTTTCTCTTTACAAACTTGAAGTCCATACTTATTTATCTCTCTCAAGCTTTTTGTTTCTTTCATTTTCACCTCTATCATTTATGATTTAATAGCAATTGCATTAGGTTTTGTAGCTGCATAACAAATTACATCAAATTTACCAGCTTAAAAAGCTCATACTTATTATCTCAGAGTTTCCATAAGTTAGAAGTCCAGGCATGGCTTAGCTGGTCCTCTGCTCAGAGTCATGCAAGGTGGCAATCTAGGTGTAGACCATACTGTGTTTCCCCAAGCTCTCATAGCTGTTGGCAGAATTAATATTTTTTGGATTGTAGGACTGAGGTCCCTTCTTTCTGGCTGGTTGTTATATAAGACTGCTCTCAGCAACTAAAGGCTCCATCAGTTCCCAGTAATGTAGCTCTCTCACAGGCCCCATTGCAACACTGAGGCTGACTTCCATAATGCTAGCAGAAGCATCTGTCTTTTCAGAAAGGGTCCAATCCCTCTTTTAAAGGCTTTCATTTGAATAAATTGGGTCCACCCAAGATAACCTCCCTTTGAATCAACTGACTTGGGTCCTTAATTACACCTGCAAGTTTGAATAAATTTTATTTAAATAAAGTGAACCCACCCAAGATAATCTCCCACAATCAACTAATTTGGGTCCATAATTACATCTGCAAAATTTTGTAATCATGAGAGTGGCCCTCCATCATAATCATAGGTCCTGTTTACTCTCAAGGAGAGGGGATTATACAGGGTGTAGGCGCCAGCAGGTGGAAATCTTGGGTTTCATCTTAGAATTCTGCCTGCCATTGTAATTGATATTTATTATATTTACTTATTTATATTATTATGTTTACATATTACTTATATTTACTATGGTAAAAAGGGGATTCCCACAGAGATTGAACCTAACCTCATATGTGTCCACTACAATTTCTAAAAGTATTGCCTGAAACACACACATAACACATACACACACACACACACACACACACACCCCGATAATAATAGAAAATGCTGTCCTTGCAAGGCTGGCGTACCCGTAAGAAGAGAAGCCACTAACCTTCATATGAAAACATAACTGGCCTCCAGGGAGCTCACCATTTCCTTCATTTAAGTGATATATTCTTAGGTTAAGATAAGGGTAATTAATATGAGCAGGAATTCCTCCAGTTCCTTTTCCATGTCAGTGACAGACATCACTATTAGATTACAGCATTCTTTTACACTGAGTCCAGACATGGCTTCAGAATTCTCAGCATAGCTCTTCAGAATCCACATAAATAAGTAGCAGTTGACACATGAGATTAAATCTACTTACCACCCCTGGTTTAAAATACTGTTTTCAGAAAGTGCCAATTAAACAACAAATTTGAGTGCCAGATATGAGTAAGGCACTTCAAAGAACTTACACCCAAGTTCAGAAAAAAATAAAAATATTCATAATGTATTTTGTTTTGTTTTTATTCAAATTAGCACTCACTGAGGTTCTTGAAGAAAAATATATATTCCCTATCATTTAGATCACTAACGTAATTGACAGAAAAAAAAGTGGGAAAAGTTGCATTGTGCTTCTGAAAGCATATTTGAGAAGAGCAATGGAAAGACAGTTTTCTTATTTCTTATCATTTACCACCATAGGGCACTTCAGAATTTCCACAGTGAATTCACAGTATGATATCACTTAATTCTTGAAATAATGTTGCAATACAGGCATTATTATAATTTTCCCTTTAAGTTGGAGAGGTCAATATAGGTCAATCAGGGTCATACAGGTGACCACATCACTTGCCGAAAATAAAAGTATTCTCCGCAGATACAACCAGAATCAGTTTATTCTAGTTAAAACCACATTTACTGTCTGCCAAAGAATCAGCCTTGAGAAGCAGCTTTAAAAGAATTATTCAGCCTACAAGTAACATCAACTCAAACTGTGTTACATAATAAAGTATCTCATCTAACAGGAAGTCCAGACTGTTGTGTCAGTTATGTTAACAAGGACTGAGGTCATTTCTGTCCATCTGTTCTGCTGCCCTCAGCAACCACTTCTTCCTAAAATTAGTTTCCTTCTCCCACTCTCCATGGCCTCCATACGGGAAGCCTCCTGCTCTCCCCAAACCCTCTCTGATTCATGCCTATCTGCTATCTGTCCACCCACCCTGAATCATTTTCTGCCTCTTCCTTATCCTCTCCATTTGACTATACCTTTTATCTTTAATGAGTTCTCACTCTTTCCAGTGGAAACATGATTTAGTCCTTTTCTGCTCCTGCTTGGATAAATAATTTCCATTTACAGGAATCAAAACATTATTTATTCTCAGCTATTGGGATGAGCAATATGCTCATGTATTTACATTCAGATACTAGAGCTATTCAAACTATCCAACTACCTACAGAATAAGCTTTTCAAAACTTAAGCACAGTTTCCAAAAACATAGAAACAAATTTTCCAAAGTCCACTCTTTCCTTTTTTACAATTTTTGCTAAATCTTTTTGAACATGTATCTAATAATAATTCCTTAGATGTGTAGAGTAATAGTCAACCCTTTTCAAACCACATAAAATAACTGATTTGAGCCTTACAACAATTCTACAGGGCTAGAAAAGTGTGTGCTCTGACCCCATTTATATCTGAGGCATTTCTTTGCTCTTACAGAGGCATGAGCATGATAAGCAGAACATCATAGACTCCTCTGCAAATTATCGCAACACGCAGTGAAAGCTTACATTTGCCAGGCATGATTAACTCAGTGATTACATTGAAGAACACAGAGTGGTAATATGCATTGTAGAGGATGCTATAATATACATCTTTATTAACACATATTAATAATGTATTCATATCTATTTGTGATTAATATATTAGCTATAATATATAGTATAATCAATAATAAGTAGGTATATATTTCACAATACTTAAAGAGATTTGTAATTTACGATGCACTTTCACATCTGCTCTCCCATGGTACAGGCTGCCATGCTTGCTTTGTTCCCTGTGACCCTGCTACCTTAGCCAGCCCTGGTTATATTTGGAACCCCAGAGCCCATCAAATACTTTGGCAGGAGGAATAAATTCCCTCAGCTGTGTACCAAACTAGGTGACACCTCATCAACTGATGACGATCCCATGAGACATACAGTCAGAGGACTCACTGGTTAAAAATGAAGAGAGAGCAGATAGAAAAGGAAAAGGGAAAGGCTGAGCCGCAGAAATGTGCAACCAGTAGAGCTGCCATGTTATTCTGGAAGATGTTCCAGTCTTCACTGGAACTCCAAACCTTCGCCTGGCTCTCCAAACCTGAGGCAGCTTCTTGGCTTCCTTACTTTCTCATGGATCCTTAGAAACCCCCCACCATCTGAAGTCACAGAATTTGTTGTTCCTTGAAACTTGAAAAAGCCAACACACTGATTTTATGAAGTGAAATGTCATTAAACATTCTCTGGATTAATCGACAAAATCACATCTTTTTTCCCTTCTAAATGAGAAAGACAAAGGAAAAATAATAAAGATGGAATACTTTAGTATTAGGAGGAAATCATTTTATTTTCCTGAGCAGAATTATGTTTTCAATTATCACAGGGTTGAAAAATCTTCAGACTAGAAAAGAAAAAGTACTTTCAGTTTTCCCTCTTTCCCACCCTAATTAAATAAAATATATGTGCAAGGGACAGAGTAACACAATGTTTGCCATAAATGAACCAAGCACACGACGTCTATGCAATTTAATAGATTGTTCAGTTCCATTTAGGTCACATTAGACTTTCATTTAAAATGCATCACGTTTTATTTATTATTTACAATTATACCACTAAATGCTGCTAAATGTACCAAGTCTAGATGGTGCCTGTAGCATGCAAGGGTCTGGGCCCAAAAACCAGGGTCACATAGACCTGGAAAGTGAGGCTTAATATCCACTGGCTTACAGAGTGAATGTTACTTTTCCAACACTATCCACTCTCTGAAACTGTGTTAGGATGAGAGAGTTAACTCCATTTTGTGAAACCATGTTTCAGGTTAAAGTCACCTTTAACAGTTTGCTGCCCCAGCAGGGGAATAAATAAATATAAGTAAATAAGAAAGAGGCATCTTGCAGCTTAAAAAAAAAAAAAATTACACATTCCTCGTGTATGTTTTTCTTCATTTCTAATGAGTTGTATGTGTATTTGGAATGGGTGAAAAATGAATCAGGAAGCAATGGTTCTTGCTATAAAGGAAGAAAAACATCACTTCCTATTGTGCCAGTTTCTAACAGATAATTAATCTATATATGTTGTTGCCACTTAGTAGTCTGTCTGACCCCAGGACAGCAGGCAGAGTCAATATCTCTCTCTCTCTCTCTCTCTCACACACACACACACACACACCCCACACACCAAAACTCTCTCTCTGTGTCACATACACCTGCGTGTACTAAGGTCTTAAGTGTCATTAGTAACAAACACAGTCTCTGTTTAAAGATGATAACTCAGTTATTCCAAGATAGGAAGCTCTCTCTTACCCTCAACACCTGCATAAAAGTGCCAGGGTATTTAAAACAAGTTGCCTGGTATTTATTTCCAAATACCAACAGTATTACTGCTGCAGCTAGATAAATACCACATGACATGAGGGATAACAAACATTCTGCCATGGCCCTAGATAGATCTGAGTTTACAAAGATTAAGGCAGACAACACTGAGAAACTCAGGGCAAGCAAAGAAACTAAAGATATGACTTTCTCTCAACGGTGTTAAAAGCTATGGAAAATTTAAAAAATAAGCTTCATAGAAAGCTTTGTAAAAATAACCTGGAGAAAGTACAAATATAAATATCAGCATTAAATTAAAGATACCTGGAAGTGGGTGTTGACTCAGACAATGCAAAATTTTGAAACTAGGACTTGAGACCAGTCCTTAGAAGGATATTAAATTGGCAGCAACAGGAATGGGCACATCACTCACAAACTTTGAAAAGTTAAAAATACTCTCCTCAAGTAAAGTGATTTTTATTAAAGTTCAAAAAGCAGGACTTAAAGTTTCTCTTCTCACATTGTTCTCAAGGGTATTCTTCAGCTTTCACTTTCTTCTTGCCCAAAGGCAAAGATGACATAGCTGTGTCTTTACGAATTTTCATCCACTCTTATAAGAAAACTGAGACATACCAACACTTTCAAAACATTTAAAGATAGTTTTCTTTGAATCTGTGTGACCAGGAAATCCAAAATAATACATTGACTCAAAGTCTTGCAATGTTTTGATTCATATCCAAGATCTACACAAAGAACAGCTTTCATTCTTTGAACAAATATTTTCTGAATGTCTACCATATGCCAGGCTCAGCACTGGGCACTGGAAACTTAACAACGGTATAGGAGGCATCCACTAAGTATTTTTTGTCCTCATTTGAACCAAAATTAGGATGAAATGGGGCAAAAGATGTGAGTTAGTAACTCTTCATTAAAGACTATTTTTAGTATTGTTTTAACTTTTAAATAATTTTATTTTTTAATTGATGCATAATAGATGTACATATTTTGATGATACAAGTGACAATTTATACATTCATGTAATTTGTAAAAATCAAATCAGTATAACTGGGATATATATCACTTTAAATATTTGTCTGTTCTTTATGCTAGAAACATGCAAATTATTCTCTTCTACCTATTTTGAAATATACAATAGATTATTGTATGTAGTCATTAAACTGATCTCTCAAACTCTAGGCTTTATTTCTTCTATCTAATTGTATATTTGTACCTATTAATCAACTCTCTTCATTCCCCCTCCCCCACCTCCTGTTTTATCACTTCAAAATATGATCATAACTCAAACTGATATAGCAAAACTAACTTGACAAAGTAATCAAAAATAAGACCGATTAATATATAATTAGGAATTCAATGTGTACATGTAAATAAATACTTCTAAAACATTCAAAAACCATTTTTTCTCAACTAATTTACTCCTCCACAATTTTGTGCACACTATTAATTTTAAATTTTAATGTACTGAGATTTTAAGAAAATTTTTAACTCAGTTTTCTCCTAAATAATAAAAATTTCCACATATGAGAAACCAAATCCATAAGCTTTGGGGGGCTTCTATACGCTCTTTTGCATTCTGCTCTTCACACTCACATCCCATTTAGAGCCTTGCTCTTAGGTGTCGATTAATTCCAAAGCTGGCTGGGCACATGAAAGTGTGCAGACATTCAGTGCTCCCACTGGAAGGTTACCTCACAGCCCAAAAAATAAACATTTGCATTCTCACTTAGAGAAATAGAAGAGGATGAGAGAAGAGAGCAAATGAAAGTAACTTAAAAGGTGTTATAGCTTTTTAAATGTTCAATCATTTAATCACTACCTTAACAGAGATGTGTAAATTATACTTATTAATACTAAAGAAAAGACTGCCTTGGCTATAACATGATTTTGTTACATATTATAAATAAACTTTTGTCTGTTGGAATTGTTTTGTGCAAAAGTAAGTGAGCCACATGACAGCATTCGTGGTTTTAACAGAAACGTTTTCTGCTGGTGGAAGCTTCTGCTAGAATGTTACTCACACATAAACCACAAGTGCATTTTTTGTTACTAGGGAAAGTAGAACAGATATGGTGTTAGACTTTGCCTTCCTTTAAAGCCCAAAGAAAGAAAAGATTTCTACTGCCTTAACAGTTTGAAAGCAAGTGAAACAAGCTTTACTTCCCATAGCATTCTTCTTGTTTAGAACATTATGCAATTCAAATTCACTTTGCAGAAAATAAAACCAGAACATTTAAGAGAAGGAGGGAAAGGATCCTAGAAGAAAAGACTGAAGGAAGCCATGTGTCATTAATTCAGTTATAAATTATTAGCTGAAAGCAGCCTCTCAGCATTTGTATTTGATGAACAAAAATTGATTGCTTCAAGGGCATTTCAATCCTTTTGATGTTCCCATCTTTTAGCCCACCACAAATCTGAATCCTTAACAGAATGATTATAGCATTATAGTAATCCTGAGAGCCAATACTAAAGGATTTGCAAGAGCAATGGAGATCAATAGTTTGAAAAAAGAATGTCTTTTTGAATTGACAGCGCTGTCTCGCCTGATCGTGAACCTGAACAAAATAAGTGGAGTCTAAGTACACAAGCAATCTCACAGGCCAAGCTGAGCTGCTGTGATGAGCCAGTTCTCTGAGAGCTTGAATAGGCCTGAGCGCTGAATATTTCTAAAGGATTAAACCCAAACTAATGGCAACCCAAAGATATTTTGCAAACAATCAGCTTTCCCCCAAAATGGTTAAGATAATACATTATGGGTCTTGGTTTGGTATTCAAAAGACTGAGTTCAGCTACAGGTTCAACATTTGCTTTTGCATAGAGTTTGAGATTATGGGAAATTGGATTAGCAGCAACGTTGTCTTAATGGCCATCTCCTTTGGGCTACTTTGAAATTGAGAATCCCCGCAGTATTCCAGGATGGACTGGAAAAACTACATCCTTAACACGTAGCATGTTAGAAAACCCAATGAGCCAGAATTGTTTAAAGACACAATTGCCCACATCTATGGGATTTTCAAGTTGTAACATTACTTGATACCTCAAAAGACAGAGAAAGACAGCTGACTATTAAAGGCTTCTTGAACAATTCAAGGATTAGCATAAAATTATACATAAAGGAGAGTAAGTACAGCAGAGGCACTTGCTCACCACAGTAGGGGCATTGTTAGGAAACGCAAATGGACTCAGTGAAAGTGCGAAGGCATCTTAACATTGTCTGAGGGCCCGCATGTTTTAACATTGATGTATATATTTTCCAGTTCTTTGTTGCCTCAACAAGAGGCCAGCTTAGTCCACTGGAGAAAGAAGTCAGAAGACTTCAGATGGCACACATCTGGAGAACATCCCATGGAAAATTGTGAATGGCTAAGTAATCTCTTTCAGTACCAAGACAAGGAGTGGTAATTTATGGTTTAACAGACTACAAAACCTGCCATTAATTCTAACATACAAACTTTAAACCAATGATTTGGAAGAGTAAAATACACAACAACAATTAACAGAAGGAAAACAGCCATCCTGAATGACACAAGTTTCACACTTTCAAAGATTGAAAAGAAAAGAAATCCTTTCTCTAACCGAGTTTATGTTTTCAGCCACCACACAAGACAGCCTTGCCGGCCATTACACTGGTGGGATGGTGCTGATCCTCACATTTCTGGCATCTAAAAGAGTGGCTCAAATTAAAAGCATGTTGAAGTTACAATCCTTGAGAGGTGTGCTGGAGCAGGCTTAAACATTTTATTTGGAGGCTATGCATGATAACATGTGATCCTTAAAGTTAACCTTTTCTTTCAAGCTGTTTAAAATGTTTTGTAGCTGTTCTTGTCTAAATGAATCAAAAGAAGGATAAGCAGGAACTAGCATAAATAATAGCTGCCTTAAAAGGGGGCAGCAAAATTGATAGCTCTACAAATGGCAGCCACCTGTACCAGGAAAACTCAAAGAAAGAGAATAAGCATTTGAAAGAAAGAATAATTGGAGTTGTGACAGCAAAGAATAGCAATCACTCCCCAGAAGGTGTTTAAAAAGCTCTTCTCTCTCCTACTTAATCACTGTTCCCTTAAGCCCATAAATTAAAATGCAATGTGTATGTTATATGCATTATGAGCATGAATACTCATGTAATCTAAAGAATCTTAGCCCAGCTTGTTTTCATACTACCAGACTCAATTCCATAAATAATATAAGAACAACAAACTCTTACAGTGAACCGTTCTGCATTACATTATCTCACAATTTTATTGAATTGTATTGATAGTCTGTTAAGACTCTCATATTAGTGCATAAACAAAGACTTGATTTCTCTAACTAAAAAATTATCATTCTTTCCTTTAGAAAAGGTATAATGGATACATCACTAAATGTGAAAGAAATTTATAAAAGAATAAAGTACTCGTTGGCAATGTATCCCTGAGAACTTAAATGGTACACATGATGGATGATGGAGTGAGTCAAATGATAGCTTTGTTGTATTAAAAGAAAAGAAGTCCGTTGTTGGAAAAAGAAATGCACAACCTTCTAATTTTTGAAAGAGTAAGAAATATTCAGCTCTAAGTCTTTAGTAAATTAATAATTCAATCCAACCAACTTGACTGACATCAACTGGCCTTGTGGTAGGGATTCAAAAATAAAACACTTGAAGGAGCTTGAAATCTAGTAGGGGTGATCGTTGTGCCCTTGAAATGTGCCTGTGCTATCGCAGAAAAATGTACATCGTCTTTGTCCTTAGGTTCCTGGCACAGAGTTCCTAAAACCGTTGGAATTTCCTGAGTGATAAGAATGGCTTTTATTATTCATAAGGAACCCCTTTTGATCCTGTCAGAGTTTATGCTAATGAAGTAACTTGCAGTGGGGTCCCTAGATAGACTCAGGATAGGGCTAGTCACTAGGAAGACCAAGTGATTAGAACTGGAACTTTCATTTCCTCCCACCAACATCCGGGAAGAAGAAGGACACCTAGAGATTAAGATCTATAAAAACTCTTGACATGTGATGAGCTTCTGGTTGGCAAACACATGGAGGTACTGGAAGGGTAGCTCCCTGGAGAGATCATGGAAGCTCTGCACATACACACCCCAGCTCCTATATATTGCCCTATGCGACTCTCCCGTTTGGCTGTTCCTGAGTTTTCCTTTATAGTAAACTGGTAAATACAAATAAGTACTTTCCTGAATTCTGTGAGCCATTCTAACAAATTATCAAATCTGAGAAGGGGGGGTCATAGAAACCCCAATTTATAGCTGGTCGGTCAAAACACAAGTGGTAACTCAGGCTTTGTGACTGGCATTTGAATTGGGGGGGTCAGTCTTGTGGAGTTCAGCCCTTTAACTTGTGACATCTGACACTAACTCCAGGTAGATAGTGTCGGAACTGAATTGAATTGTAGAACACCCAGTAGAGAAACAGTTCTATTAGTGCCATTAGTATTATGGTTTTATTATTGCCAATGTCACCTAAAAGCTGATCTGATTTTCTATAAATACCTATAATTTCAAAGGACTTTTAGCATCATTTACAAGTGAAAAAGCTATATGTAATCAGTTAAAGAGCAGGGCAAGCCTAGCAACACTATGCAACATAATCTTCCCCAAATACTTCCCTTAGAAGAATACACAACAAAGGTTATATGTTTGTTTGCCTGGTGGGCAGCAAGTCAACATCCAAGACATTGAGGATGGCAGCAGAGAAAGAACTGAATGGGGAGGTAGAAGAGAACCTCAACTCCACCTCTCCAAGGAGCTGGTTCTAAGGATTTTAAAGGATTTGCAGGGGACCGAGGTGTGAGGACTGTTAATTAGTTGAAGAGTGTAGAGTGAAGTCATGAGAGAGAGAGATGAAAAAACTTATTCTTACACTGATGCGGTTGCTCTGTGGGGGTCTATAAATTGGTTGGCATCAGTCATTCCACTGGAATTCAAGATCTGAAGAACATCTTAAGCAATTCTTAAATATAAAGCCTTATAATTCTAACATCAGTGATCCTATCTATAAGACCAGTGGGAATGCAAATGGTCAGTATTTAGTGATACATGACTTTTGGTTACAAGGAAGAGGGCCAAAGTACAACCTGATTAATACATAATTATAACTGTATTTCTGTCGAGAACCCGGCATGTAATCCCTGTTAACCCTGTGAGGATGGTTTCCATAACATGTTCCAAGGAACACTAGTCCCAAAAGATGTTCTCTACAGAAAAAAGATTCCATGGTTAATTAGTTTAGGAATTACTAAACTATACACAGATTAGAGAATCACAATATATATCATTATATAAAATCGCTTGTGAAAAAAATTATTTAATGAAGAAAAGAGCTTAACTCTCTTTAAATTCAGTATTGCAGCACAGCATGTCTGAACATGCAATGCCTTTATTCCTTACACCATTAACATCCTTGAAAACAAGAGTTCTCGGGAAAATACTTTGGGAAATTTCTGTGGATCATCCTCAAGGACCAGTTTCTGAGCCAGACCAAAGCAGTGATTTCCTTTGCTCTGAGATTCTATCTCAATTGATACCAGAAACATTACATCACTTTTTTCTTTCTTAAGCTTTTATTTTAAGTTCAGGGGTACATGTGCAGGTTTGTTACATAGGTAATCTTGTGTCATAGGGGTTTGTTGTATAGATTATTTCATCACACAGGTATTAAGCCCAGTACCCATCTGTTATTTTTCCTGATCCTCTCCCTCCTCCCACCCTTCACCCTCTAATAGTCCCTAGTGTCTGTCATTTCCCTCTATATGTCCATGTGTTCTCATAATTTAGCTCCCACTTAGAAGTGAGAACATAACAGCATTTGGTTTTCTGTTGCTTTGTTAGTTTGCTAATGATAATCTTTCTTAAACATGAGTTAGCACAAACCATTTCAAATATTCTTCACAGATTTAGAGACATCCCTCAAAACCTGGGTTAGAAATAAATGAATTAATCAATTATTTCTTAAACGTTCAGCACAACTATAAAATTAGACTAATTCCAAATTTACATAACTAAAGAAAATGAACCGTTCGGTGTTCCAAATGTTAACAAAAATTTAACTGGTTGAAACACACATGGAGATTGAGTTTCACTGCATAAAAATAGAACAGCAATAGAATAACAGAAGGCCACAAAGGAGTGGCAGGGGCCTGTGGGTGATGGCAGTGGACTTGTGCACTTGATTTGAGATCATCGCTGATGAGAACCAGGAGTCTTTAAGGTGTTTGGATGCTTCTCTGCTACGTTAAATGAAAACAGCATTAGTTATATAGATGGAGAATTCTTCATGAAACTGAAGGCCAAGAATGCAACTGGACTGCACACCAGGAAGCATCCTGGAGGTCAGCTGTCTTCTAATCTCTCTAAACTGCATCTTGGCTTCTTTCTACCGTCTACTCCCTTCCTCTCTCTCTCTCTCTCTGCAGACAGGCCTTTCTCCACTCCTCACCCATGACTCATGGCAGCCTCTGGCCTCCAGGTCTACATGTTCAGCCACATGAAGTAACTAGAGGTCTAGTTTCAAAGCCAAATCATTGAAAGAAACAATGTGTCTGGTCCGTTGCAGATCAGGTGTCTTGACAACGCTGGCTAAAGACAGAAATAAAGATGCACATAAAGATGACCTCCAAGAGCCCACCCTGTGAAGCTGAAGCGTAGTTAACCAAAGAACCAGAGATAGCCCATGGATGAAGGAATGCTCTCCGAAAATGTCCACTGAAGGTATTGAAGCTGTGGTTTAGCAATTTATTATTTCAGAAAACAGACAGGGTTATAGTCTTATACATGTAGGAAGACTGGCAAATGCCATTACTAATACTAATAATGGAAAGGCACGATGAGCAAATTAATAGAAAAGCAGAATTGCAGTGGTAACTGGAATATCATTATCTCACTTCAGAGGAGAGGCAATGAGAAGCTTTTTCACTTCTTGTCTGATAACACAAACCAAATTTTAATAAGAAAAATGGGTTTTTTTTGTTTTTTGGTTTTTGTGGGTTTTTGTTTTTTTGAGATGAAGCCTCAATCTGTCACCCAGGCTGGAGTGCAGTGGTGCGATCTTGGCTCACTGCAACCTCTGCCTCCCAGGTTCAAGGGATTCTCCTGCCTCAGCCTCCTGAGTAGCTGGGACTATAGGTGCATGCCACCACACCCGGCTATTTTTTTTTTTAATTTTTGTATTTTCAGTAGAGACAGGGTTTCATTGTGTTAGCCAGGATGGTCTTGATCTCCTGACTTCATGATCTGCCCACCTCGGTCTCCCAAACTGCTTGGATTACAGGCGTGAGCCACCACACACAGCCAAAAAATGCTTTAAACATTACCTTTAAGATATGTTTCCGAGGGAGGAGCCAAGATGGCCGAATAGGAACAGCTCCGGTCTACAGCTCCCAGCGTGAGCGACGCAGAAGACGGTGATTTCTGCATTTCCATCTGAGGTACCGGGTTCATCTCACTAGGGAGTGCCAGACAGTGGGCACAGGTCAGTGGGTGCACGCACCGTGCGTGAGCCGAAGCAGGCGAGGCATTGCCTCACTTGGGAAGCGCAAGGGGTCAGGGAGTTCCCTTTCCGAGTCAAAGAAAGGGGTGACAGACGGCACCTGGAAAATCGGGTCACTCCCACCGGAATACTGCGCTTTTCCGACAGGCTTAAAAACCGGCGCACGACGAGATTATATCCCACACCTGGCTTGGAGGGTCCTAAGCCCACGGAGTCTCGCTGATTGCTAGCACAGCAGTCTGAGATCAAACTGCAAGGCGGCAGCGAGGCTGGGGGAGGGGCGCCCGCCATTGCCCAGGCTTCATTAGGTAAACAAAGCAGCCGGGAAGCTCCGACGGGGCGGAGCCCACTACAGCTCAAGGAGACCTGCCTGCCTCTGTAGGCTCCACCTCTGGGGGCAGGGCACAGACAAACAAAAAGACAGCAGTAACCTCTGCAGACTTAAATGTCCCTGTCTGACAGCTTTGAAGAGAGCAGTGGTTCTCCCAGCACGCAGCTGGAGATCTGAGAACGGGCAGACTGCCTCCTCAAGTGGGTCCCTGACCCCTGACCCCTGAGCAGCCTAACTGGGAGGCAGCCCCCCAGCAGGGGCACACTGACACCTCACACGGCAGGGTATTCCAACAGACCTGCAGCTGAGGGTCCTGTCTGTTAGAAGGAAAACTAACAAACAGAAAGGACATCCACACCAAAAACCCATCTGTACATCACCATCATCAAAGACCAAAAGTAGATAAAACCACAAAGATGGGGAAAAAACAGAACAGAAAAACTGGAAACTCTAAAAAGCAGAGCGCCTCTCCTCCTCCAAAGGAACGCAGTTCCTCACCAGCAACGGAACAAAGCTGGATGGAGAATGACTTTGACGAGCTGAGAGAAGAAGGCTTCAGATGATCAAATTACTCTGAGCTACGGGAGGACATTCAAACCAAAGGCAAAGAAGTTGAAAACTTTGAAAAAAAATTTAGAAGAATGTATAACTAGAATAACCAATACAGAGAAGTGCTTAAAGGAGCTGATGGAGCTGAAAACCAAGGCTCGAGAACTACGTGAAGAATGCAGAAGCCTCAGGAGCCAATGCGATCAACTGGAAGAAAGGGTATCAGGGATGGAAGATGAAATGAATGAAATGAAGCAAGAAGGGAAGTTTAGAGAAAAAAGAATAAAAAGAAATGAGCAAAGCCTCCAAGAAATATGGGACTATGTGAAAAGACCAAATCTACGTCTGATTGGTGTCCCTGAAAGTGATGGGGAGAATGGAACCAAGTTGGAAAACACTCTGCAGGATATTATCCAGGAGAACTTCCCCAATCTAGCAAGGCAGGCCAACGTTCAGATTCAGGAAATACAGAGAACGCCACAAAGATACTCCTCACGAAGAGCAACTCCAAGACACATAATTGTCAGATTCACCAAAGTTTAAATGAAGGAAAAAATGTTAAGGGCAGCCAGAGAGAAAGGTCGGGTTACCCTCAAAGGAAAGCCCATCAGACTAACAGCGGATCTCTCAGCAGAAACCCTACAAGACAGAAGAGAGTGGGGGCCAATATTCAATATTCTTAAAGGAAAGAATTTTCAACCCAGAATTTCATATCCAGCCAAACTAAGCTTCATAAGTGAAGGAGAAATAAAATACTTTACAGACAAGCAAATGCTGAGAGATTTTGTCACCACCAGGCCTGCCCTAAAAGAGCTCCTGAAGGAAGCGCTAAACATGGAAAGGAACAACCGGTACCAGCCGCTGCAAAATCATGCCAAAATGTAAAGACCATTGAGACTAGGAAGAAACTGCATCAACTAATGAGCAAAATAACCAGCTAACATCATAATGACAGGATCACATTCACACATAACAATATTAACTTTAAATGTAAATGGACTAAATGCTCCAATTAAAAGACACAGACTGTCAAATTGGATAAAGAGTCAAGACCCATCAGTGTGCTGTATTCAGGAAACCCATCTCATGTGCAGAGATACACATAGGCTCAAAATAAAAGGATGGAGGAAGATCTACCAAGCAAATGGAAAACAAAAGAAGGCAGGGGTTGCAATCCTAGTCTCCGATAAAACAGACTTTAAACCAACAAAGATCAAAAGAGACAACACCATTACATAATGGTAAAGGGATCAATTCAACAAGAAGAGCTAACTATCCTAAATATATATGCATCCAATACAGGAGCACCAAGATTCATAATGCAAGTCCTGAGTGACCTACAAAGAGACTTAGACTCCCACACATTAATAATGGGAGACTTTAACACCCCACTGTCAACATTAGACAGATCAACGAGACAGAAAGTCAACAAGGATACCCAGGAATTGAACTCAGCTCTGCACCAAGCGGACCTAATAGACATCTACAGAACTCTCCACCCCAAATCAACAGAATATACATTTTTTTCAGCACCACACCACACCTATTCCAAAATTGACCACATAGTTGGAAGTAAAGCTCTCCTCAGCAAATGTAAAAGAACAGAAATTATAACAAACTATCTCTCAGACCACAGTGCAATCAAACTAGAACTCAGGATTAAGAATCTCACTCAAAACCGCTCAACTACATGGAAACTGAACAACCTGCTCCTGAATGACTACTGGGTACATAATGAAATGAAGGCAGAGATAAAGATGTTCTTTGAAACCAACGAGAACAAAGACACAACATACCAGAATCTCTGGGACACATTTAAAGCAGTGTGTAGAGGGAAATTTATAGCACTAAATGCCCACAAGAGAAAGCAGGAAAGATCCAAAATTGACACCCTAACATCACAATTAAAAGAGCTAGAAAAGCAAGAGCAAACACATTCAAAAGCTAGCAGAAGGCAAGAAATAACTAAAATCAGAGCAGAACTGAAGGAAATAGAGACACAAAAAACCATTCAAAAAATTAATGAATCCAGGAGCTGGTTTTTTGAAAGGATCAACAAAATTGATAGACCGCTAGCAAGATTAATAAAGAAAAAAAGAGAGAAGAATCTAATAGACGCAATAAAAAATGATAAAGGGGATATCACCACCGATCCCACAGAAATACAAACTACCATCAGAGAATACTACAAACACCTCTACGCAAATAAACTAGAAAATCTAGAAGAAATGGATAAATTCCTGTACACATACATTCTCCCAAGTCAAAACCAGGAAGAAGTTGAATCTCTGAGTAGACCAATAACAGGATCTGAAATTGTGGCAATAATCAATAGCTTACCAACCAAAAAGAGTCCAGGACCCGATGGATTCACAGCTGAATTCTACCAGAGGTACAAGGAGGAGCTGGTACCATTCCTTCTGAAACTATTCCAATCAATAGAAAAAGAGGGAATCCTCCCTAACTCATTTTATGAGGCCAGCATCATTCTGATACCAAAGCCAGGCAGAGACACAACAAAAAAAGAGAATTTTAGACCAATATCCTTGATGAACATTGATGCAAAAATCCTCAATAAAATATTGGCAAACAGAATCCAGCAGCACATCAAAAAGCTTATCCACCATGATCAAGTGGGCTTCATCCCTGGGATGCGAGGCTGGTTCAATATACGCAAATCAATAAATGTAATCCAGCATATAAACAGAGCCAAAGACAAAAACCACATGATTATCTCAATAGATGCAGAAAAAGCCTTTGACAAAATTCAACAACACTTCATGCTAAAAACTCTCAATAAATTAGGTATTGATGGGATGTATTTCAAAATAATAAGAGCTATCTATGACAAACCCACAGCCAATATCATACTGAATGGGCAAAAACTGGAAGCATTCCCTTTGAAAACTGGCACAAGACAGGGATGCCCTCTCTCACCACTCCTATTCAACATAGTGTTGGAAGTTCTGGCCAGGGCAATTAGGCAGGAGAAGGAAATAAAGGGTATCCAATTAGGAAAAGAGGAAGTCAAATTGTCCCTGTTTGCAGACGACATGATTGTATATCTAGAAAACCCCATTGTCTCAGCCCAAAATCTCCTTAAGCTGATAAGCAACTTCAGCAAAGTCTCAGGATACAAAATCAATGTACAAAAATCACAAGCATTCTTATACACCAGCAACAGACAAACAGAGAGCCAAATCATGAGTGAACTCCCATTCACAATTGTTTCAAAGAGAATAAAATACCTAGGAATCCAACTTACAAGGGACGTGAAGGACCTCTTCAAGGAGAACTACAAACCACTGCTCAAGGAAATAAAAGAGGATACAAACAAATGGAAGAACATTCCATGCTCATGGGTAGGAAGAATCAATATCGTGAAAATGGCCATACTGCCCAAGGTAATTTACAGATTCAATGCCATCCCCATCAAGCTACCAATGCCTTTCTTCACAGAATTGGAAAAAACTAAAGTTCATATGGAATCATAAAAGAGCCTGCATCGCCAAGTCAATCCTAAGCCAAAAGAACAAAGCTGGAGGCATCACACTACCTGACTTCAAACTATACTACAAGGCTACAGTAACCAAAACAGCATGGTACTGGTACCGAAACAGAGATATAGATCAATGGAACAGAACAGAGCCCTCAGAAATAACACCGCATATCTACAAGTATCTGATCTTTGACAAACCTGAGAGAAACAACAATGGGGAAAGGATTCCCTATTTAATAAATGGTGCTGGGAAAACTGGCTAGCCATATGTAGAAAGCTGAAACTGGATCCCTTCCTTACACCTTATACAAAAATCAATTCAAGATGGATTAAAGACTTAAACGTTAGACCTAAAACCATAAAAACCCTAGAAGAAAACCTAGGCATTACCATTCAGGACATAGGCATGGGCAAGGACTTCATGTCCAAAACACCAAAAGCAATGGCAACAAAAGACAAAATTGACAAATGGGATCTAATTAAACTAAAGAGCTTCTGCACAGCAAAAGAAACTACCATGAGAGTGAACAGGCAACCTACAAAATGGGAGAAAATTTTCACAACCTACTCATCTGACAAAGGGCTAGTATCCAGAATCTACAATGAACTCAAACAAATTTACAAGAAAAAAACAAACAACCCCATCAAAAAGTGGGCGAAGGACATGAACAGACACTTCTCAAAAGAAGACATTTATGCAGCCAAAAAACACATGAAAAAATGCTCATCATCACTGGCCATCAGAGAAATGCAAATCAAAACCACAATGAGATACCATCTCACACCAGTTAGAATGGCAATCATTAAAAAGTCAGGAAACAACAGGTGCTGGAGAGGATGTGGAGAAATAGGAACACTTTTACACTGTTGGTGGGACTGTAAACTAGTTCAACCATTGTGGAAGTCAGTGTGGCGATTCCTCAGGGATCTAGAACTGGAAATACCATTTGACCCAGCCGTCCCATTACTGGGTATATACCCAAAGGACTATAAATCATGCTGCTATAAAGACACATGCACACGTATGTTTATTGCGGCATTATTCATGATAGCAAAGACTTGGAACCAACCCAAATGTCCAACAATGATAGACTGGATTAAGAAAATGTGGCACATACACACCATGGAATACTATGCAGCCATAAAAAATGATGAGTTCATGTCCTTTGTAGGGACATGGATGAAATTGGAAAACATCATTCTCAGTAAACTATCGCAAGGACAAAAAACCAAACACCGCATATTCTCACTCATAGGTGGGAATTGAACAATGAGATCACATGGACACAGGAAGGGGAATATCACACTCTGGGGACTGTTGTGGGGTGGGGGGAGGGGGGAGGGATAGCACTGGGAGATATACCTAGTGCTAGATGACGAGTTAGTGGGTGCAGTGCACCAGCATGGCACATGTATACATATGTAACTAACCTGCACAATGTGCACATGTACCCTAAAACTTAAAGTATAATAATAAAAAAAAAGATATGTTTCCACTTCAAAATAATTGCTAACATGTTCTGAGACTGTATTCTAAGCCTTTTAGGTGTAGTAGCTCAATTAATAATCCAGCAACCCTATCTATGATAAGGTATTAGTTTCATCTCCACTTTACAAATGATGCAACTGAGGCTTAGAGTGATCAAGAAAATTTTCAAGGGTCACAGAGCTAGAAAATGGCAGAGCCAGGGCTTCAACCAAAAAAACCACACTGGAACCCTCAGAATAATAAGTCTGTCCAATCCAGAGTCCAGGAGAGGGAGAAACTGAGGCTGCCTGGAGCTGCATAGTCACATGAATGTTGCTTCAACATTAGTAGGTATCACCTACCTTCCTCATAAAATAAATATACTCAAACTTAAAAATGAAATTTAAATAATTGCACTAACAAAGGCTCAAAACATACAAAATTCACCAGCTACTCAACACTAAACGTTATTGCCTTAGAAAACTGTTAAGCACACATGCTCTGCACCATATGTAGAGAGATACTCATTCCACAGGTCCTGAGAGTTAAATTTTTTCCTCGTTTCATATGAATTGAGAAGAATTAAAAGAGTTTGTGTTGGGGTGAAAAGCTTTCCAGGCAGGTTTTGTTCACTGAAGTTAAAGGACAGTTAATTTTAAAATATGTGCACTTAAGAACAGCGTTTGATCTGCCAACAAATAAACCAAGAATTTTCAGTAAAATGGAAAAAGTTTTAAGGTCTGGAAGTGATATAAAATTGTCTTGAAAAATAAAATGTTTCAGTTGTTTGATAGCTGCTTGGTGCCAGTTCTGATAGACACTCTAGGATCCAGAGATTTCCCAAACCAGGGGCATATGGCAGAGAATTGTTATATAGAGAGGTTTGATCTAGTACTCTACCACCCTGTCAGCATTCAGCAGTTAGTAGATACTTGAATGTTAGTTTTCATCTAGCCTTAGTTGGAAGGAAGAGAAGATCTTGAAGTTCCAAAGCAAAACTTCTAAAGTTCTCTGTGCCTTTCAAAGTCACTGTTGCTACCTCTGCACACACTTCCCAGTAACCTGGGTGGGCTTTCTCATGGATGGGCTCACATTGCTCTCAAAGAGCACAGATGCTGTCAATTAAAGCAATGACTCTCAACGAAACAAGTCTACTCTTAGCTATACTGTTCTGTGCATGGAACTGCCAAGGCAACAAGAATTCTAATAGCTGGGATGGGAAAATAAAAGTTCAAAGATTAGGAGAAGCTACGGCTAGAAACAAATTCAAGGAGAGTGATGTAGGGCTGAACAGCAGCATCCAGTGAGAGCAGAAACCTGAATATGATTATCTCAGGGCTTCCTAAGGGAAGAAACTGACTGGAATGTGAGGGAGAAGAAGGCACAGTGGGAAGCCCTAAAATACACTTTCCTTCTCTGGTCCTCAGCAAATGAGCCTCAACATCATCCCCAGACATCAGAGTTAAGTACCCTGAAAAGCTCCACTTCAAAATAAGAAGGAATATGAGTTAGAGAAACTCAGTTTGTTGAGTATAAATTATTCACAGCCTTATTAGAAATAAAATGTTCTTGTTAATAAAGCACGCTGGTTATCACATATGCTGTGTATGGATTACCGTTTTTCACAGATATGAATGAAAAAAGGACACTCACTGCCTTAAATGGAATAAACTTGGTTTTTTTTTTTCCCTTAATGGTGTGCAGGCCCTTGAGGATCCCATTCTGTACAAGCACAACATCATTTAACATCATTTATCATGCAGCTGAAGATGTGTGAAATTGCTAGTTAACACAATTCCCTTTGATGGTCTGTCAGATTAAAAACCAGTTCTCACTGTTTGCAATATGTGTTCTATATATAAATTAATATATTATAACTGAAGTCAAAACCACAGCTAATATTGACATTGCTGTATTATTAGGCGAGGGTCCATTACATGTTCAGGAACTCCAAGTTGCTGCCTTGCACAGATAACACCCACACTAACCAGCTCCTCGTTTCCCTCCCTCTCTCTCCTTTCCTCTTCTTGAGTAGCTCTTTGAGTACTTTCACATCTTACTCCTTTTTAACTTGGCCTGCTTTCCTTATTATGCCTTTCTTATGTTCCTGTGGGTTAGAGCATATATTCTTCAAATTAGAATGTAAAAATCAGTCCAGAATGAGTCAATCGATAGAATGTGCTAGAATTACTACTGGAATTATAGAGGAGGGAGAGAAAGGAGAGAAGGATTTAACGCTTTGCAAAAAAACCAACCTTCTCTATAAGCAGAAAGCATAACCCATTAGCATTCCAAACAGGCTGTGCAAAGCTTTCAAATGGCAGGGCTGAGCTGGTCCTGCCCCTCTCCCCACACACACACATCCCAGGGGTATCTCCAACCTGGAGCCTCCACACACACGGCTGGCACAGCATCTGGAATTTTATCACCGTTGCAGAGAGAGGATCTGGATGGACCCACTGCTGGTTACTCCAAATTTTTCTCTGACTGAACGGCTTGATATGCATTAACTCGCATGGTATTCTTTGTAGTTGATTTTTGCAGATATTTGCTCTTTCGACACATTTGTATTACAAAGAGGAACATATGGTCCTCAAAAAACCATTTCTATATGTATACATTCCAGAGTTTTCAGATCTTTTTTGTTTCTAATTTAGCTTTTAAAAAAACTTCTTTTTTTACACTTTAAAGATGGTTTTTCTACAAGGACCACATATAATCATACTTAAAATTCCTTAAAGTCAGTGGCGTTTTAGTGAGCATATTTTATGTAGGTGACAAATACATAAGACAAATACCTAAGACAAACAGACAAGAGGCTTAAGAAAGAAGAAATACAAATAATGTATTACCACGGAGTAAAAGTATAGACGGCTGCATTTTTGTCTGTAGAATGGCTATCCCTTAACTGGCATTTCCTCTATTCACCCAAATTCAAACAGACCACCTCTACCATCTCGACCAGGATCCTGGTGTTTTAAAGGCTATTCTCCTTTGATAGCTGGAGTACAGAGAGAAATGTGGAAGATGTGGACTAATGGGAATAAAAAGTAATCCTGCCAAATAAAAAAAAAACAAAAAAAATGGGTAGACATGATATGACATGTCTCAGTGGAGGTATTCTGGCCCAGCTGGGAAAGAAAACTATAAAGATGATGCATATGTATTTACATTGCTATAAGTGCTACAATAATTATTCAGTGACCTAAGGACTGAGGTTTTCAGCTATGAAAATTATAGTTACTTGTTGCTACTTATCACAAGATTTTTAAAAATGATGATTAGAGCAAAAACTTAGCTGAAGCTCACTTCACTCCATGATTTACTTCTTTAAAGCAAAATTAATGATAACATGATATGTTTTATAAACAAATGCCAAAGCAAAATGGACAAATGCATGAACTTCAAGGCCATTCTCCCCAGCTTTCAATCCTGGTGCTATCACTCATTATCTGGTGGCCTTGGTTAAGTGACTTAACCTCTCTATGCTTCAGTCTTTGGCATTTAATTAACAGACAATAGATGTTGCCACTTTTATTATTTTGACTCATTTTTGTATTAGCAAATATATAAACACTTATACTAACTGGTTTAGGTGGGGGTAAGTAATGTTAACTAATATAACAAACTCCAAAATTTAAATTAGCTTAACACAACAAAAGTATTTCACACTCCTGCCAAAGGACAGAGTGTGGAGATAGTTTTACTCACCAATGTGGGAGCTAGGTTCCACCTATTTGGTAGTTGTAGTTTCTTCATATTCTATGGCCTTGGTGTCCATCACTGGATCTCCTGCATCCAGTCTGCAGAAAGAAAGCTCAGGAAAATGCAGAGGATTTAGAAGCCAGGCCTACAAGAAGCTTGCATCATGTCCACCACATTTTATTCTCCAAGACTTAATTATGGCCCCATCTGGATACAAGGGGGCTAGAAAATATAGTCTTATAGTATGCCAGAAAAAAGAGGAGAAAATAGATTCTGGAGAGCACCACACGTTTTGTGACAAGACACTCTCCTTCTTACCAGTCATCCTTGAGACAAAGGGCATTGGTAGGAGTTTAGTTGGGATTTAAAGATGGAAAAAGGAAGCAATGCCTTGCAGACATACAAGTCTGCAAGCAATGCCTTAATAGACTTATCACAGCAATAGTATGTATATGATGTAACATTTATGACCATTAAGTGAGAGAGTATGTGTAAAGAGCCTGGCACCTAGTAGATATTCAATAATTGTCAGCTGTTTCATTAATTATTGTATATGAATTTACAAATCTTAAGCACACCATATACCAGTTGCCTTTTTTGAGAATGTAAAATATTCTTCCCACTAACCTTTTCATACCAGTGTTTATATTTTATATTCTCCTTTTACTTGACTCAAAACGAATATCCTTTGTAATAAGAAGGTAAAACCCAAGCCCCAAAGCACAGTGAATTCTATATTTTCTAATAATCTTATTACTTATTTCTCCTAGATCTCATCTCAGCTTCTCTTAGTTATTTTTCTGACAGTCCTGAGAATGGAATAAAGTAATGGTGTTGGGATATTATATGTAACCTGAAAACACTGTTGTGTTACCAATCAAGAACATGATCTTCCTCGCAATTTCTCTATCTATCCCATAGCTTTCATTTTAAAAGTGATTCTGGGATTCCACATATTTTGCAGAAGATCCTGAGTATCAATTAAATTGAGAGTACTGCTGTAAAGGGTAATAATCTTTATACTAACTCACTACAGGTATTATAAAATGTAGTCCTGTTAGAAGAGGAGGAAAATGTAATTACATGATTCAAATCTAGAGGCAACTTGTGTCTGTTAGGTCATGGAAATACACTGGCAAACAATCTCTTCCATGGTACTATCCTGTAAGAGCTAATTCAGGAATTATGTTTCTTCTATAGAAACTATAGTTATCAATGTGGTGGTCGGGGGGTGGGGTGGTGGTGGAATTACCCTCTAACAAAGGAGCAAAAATTGCTTTGTTTAGAAATTTTTACTTTACTTTTGTCTAAGACACTTTGTTTCAATCATTTTTCAGCAAGAAGATCAAACTACCTTTACAAGATTGACAAAAATAGAACCACAAAATAAGAACAAATTAAGCTTTCTATACTTTACAGTAAGAAAATATCAGCCAACATATTCTGAGTCCTTGCTATGTGCCAGATGTTGTTCTAGGTCCTTTGAGGCAGGTTCTATTATTGTCCCCATTTTACAGACAGGAAATGGAGACTGGGAGAAGTAACTTGCCTAAGGCCGGGGGCTGATTTGGGGCAACGCTGGAATTTGAATATAGGGAACCTGGCTCCAGGGTCCAAGTTCTTAACCATGACCAGCCCTTAATAACTAGAAGGTGACAATCTACCTGAAACTGATACCCAGTGTAATGCTTTAAATACTTCTCATGCCATTTATGTGTAGAAAAATAACCATTGGTTATTCCGAGCCAATAGCTGGCCCCATGCCTGAGCATAGGAATTCTTCCCAAGCAGAACCTTGGGCTTAGCACATTGATATGGTTAGGCTTTGTGTTCCCACCTGAATCTCATCTTGAATTGTAATCCCCATAATCCCCATGTGTCAAGGGGAAGACCAGGTGGAGGTAATTGAATCATGGGTGTGGTTACCTCCATGCTGTTCTCGTGATAGTGAATGGGTTCTCACGAGATCTGATGCTTTTATAAGGGGCTCTTCCCCACTTTACTGGTCACCTCTCCTTCCTGCCACCTTGTGAGGAAGGTGCCTTGCTTCCCCTTCCACCATGATTGTAACTTTCTTGACGCTTCCCCAGCCATGCTGAACTGTGAGTCAATTAAAGCTGTTTCCTTTATAAATTACCCAGTCTCGGGCAGTTCTTCATAGCCACATGGAAACGACTCATACGCACGTACTGCCTAAGGTTCCTAGCTCCTATTAGGTGGCTCAAGACATTGTTACTCAAATATGAGTCAAATGATGTAACATATGAAACATAGATGACCTTTACCCCACAGTCCCCATGCAGTATCTATGAGCTTTGTCTTTCAACAAACCCATGAAAAGATACTAGCAAAGGGTGACTCCAGGAGCCTAAGAGCTTGGCCTCAAAAGCAGACAGGAGGCTTTGAGGCCTAACACTTTCTCTTACCACTTGTGTGACCAGTTACTTTAATATGATAATAAAAGTAATTTTCCTATTAGGTTTTCTTTTTTTTTTTTTTTTTTTGAGATGGAGTCTCACTTTGTCACCCAGGCTGGAGGGTAGTGGCATGGTCTTAGCTCACTGCAAACTCTGCCTCCCAGCTTCAAGCGATTCTCCTGCCTCGGCTCCTGGGTAGCTGGGATTACAGGCTTACACCACCACACCTGTCTAATTTTTGTATTTTTAGTAGAGACAAGGTTACACTAGGTTGACCAGGCTGGTCTCGAACTACTGACCTCAGGTGATCCACCCACCTCGGCCTCCCAAAGTGTTGGGATTACAGGCGTGAGCCACCACACCTGGCCCTATTAAGTTTTCTAAGCCAACGACATTTTTCAATCTTTCTGTGTGGAAGTACAGAGGAGACTCAAGGCCTGATTTGGTAGATAACAAAAATAGTACTGTTTTAACTTCCCTGTGACACACAGGCAGAATTCTAAAGATGCCCTTCCTAAACCCAAGATTTCTATTCCATGCCCATTCAAGCAAACACTAATCTACATACTGCTGTGAAGGGAATTTGTAGGTGTAATTAAAGTTTCAAGTTAGTTGACCTTAAGGTATGGAGATTTTGATAGGCTTGACACAATCAAGTGAGCCCTTTAAAAACAGAGAGTTTTCTCTAGCTGGTGGCAGAAGAGGAAGTTAGAGATTCAAAGCATGAGGGACATTTTATACGCCACTGCTGGTTTGAAGATGTGCCAAGGAGTGAGGGCAGACTTTAGGGCAGAGAGAGGTCCCTGCTGAAAACTGACACTAAGAAACAGAACCTCAGTCTTACAACCAGAAGGAGCTGAACTGAATTTGACCAATTACCCAAATTAGCTTAGCAGATTTTTCCCTCCAGCCTTCCAGAAAAAAGCCCAGCCTGGCCGATACCTTGATCAGAGTTTTGTGAGGCCTTGAGCAGAGAACCCTGTTGTTCCTGCCGAGATTTCTGAACTACAGACCTGTGAGCTAATAAATGAGTATTTCAGCCAGGCACAGTGGCTACACCTGCAATCCCATCACTTTGGTAAGCTGAGGTGGATGGATCACTTGAGCCCGGGATTTCAAGACTAGCCTGGGCAACATTGCAAAACCTGGTCTCTACAAAAAAAACACAAAAATTAGCCGGTTGTGGTGGTGTACCCCTGTAGTCCTACCCACTGGCAGGGCTAAGGTGGGAGGATTGCCTGAGCTCGGGGAGGTTGAGGCTCCAGCTAGCCGTGATCAAGCCACCACACTCCAGCTTGGGCAAGAAAGAACTCAGTAATAACAACAAAAATAATAAATGAGTATTGCAATAAGCTGTTACATTTATGAAAATGTGTTACACAGCAATAGAAAACTAATACATTCCCCAACCCTTTACTACTACACCCTTCATTAAAACTCTTAATCTCAGCAATTCTTAATTTGTTCACAATTTCACCAACTTCTGAAAAAAATATATTTTTATTTGAGGTTTCCATGCTATTAAAAAGACTACTATAGACTGAATGTTTGTGTCTCCCCGCCGAAATTCATATGTTTGAAACCTAATCCGTCAATGTAAGGGTATTCGGAGATTAGGTCATAAAGGCGGAGCCCTCATGAATGGGACTAGTGCCATTATAAAAGAGGCCCGGAGAGTTCCTTGCCCATTCTGCCATGCTAGGACAGAGGAAGAAGATGGTCTTCTATGAACCAGGAAGAAGTCCCTTACCAGACACCCAATCCCAGCACCTTGATCTTGGACCTTCTAGACTCTGGAACTTTGAGAAATAAATCTCTGTGGTTCATAAGCCACCCAGTCCATGGCAATCTGCTATAGTAGCCCACATGGACTAAGACAGAGGCCTACACTGAGCAACTGTCAGCCCTAGGCAGCCATTTTTTTTTTAATTATTATACTTTAAGTTTTAGGGTACATGTGCACAATGTGCAGGTTAGTTACATATGTATACATGTGCCATGCTGGTGTGCTGCACCCATTAACTCGTCATTTAGCATTAGGTATATCTCCTAATGCTATCCCTCCCCCCTCCCCCCACCCCACAACAGTCCCCAGAGTTTGATGTTCCCCTTCCTGTGTCCATGTGTTCTCATTGTTCAATTCCCATCTATGAGTGAGAACATGTGGTGTTTGTTTTTTTGTCCTTGCGATAGTTTACTGAGAATGATGATTTCCAATTTTATCCATGTCCCTACAAAGGACATGAACTCATCATTTTTTATGGCTGCATAGTATTCCATGGTGTATATGTGCCACATTTTCTTAATCCAGTCTATTGTTGTTGGACATTTGGGTTGGTTCCAAGTCTTTGCTATTGTGAATAGTGCCGCAATAAACATACGTGTGCATGTGTCTTTATAGCAGCATGATTTATAGTCCTTTGGGTATATACCCAGTAATGGGATGGCTGGGTCAAATGGTATTTCTAGTTCTAGATCCCTGAGGAATCGCCACACTGACTTCCACAATGGTTGAACTAGTTTACAGTCCCACCAACAGTGTAAAAGTGTTCCTATTTCTCCACATCCTCTCCAGCAACTGTTGTTTCCTGACTTTTTAATGATTGCCATTCTAACTGGTGTGAGATGGTATCTCATTGTGGTTTTGATTTGCATTTCTCTGATGGCCAGTGATGGTGAGCATTTTTTCATGTGTTTTTTGGCTGCATAAATGTCTTCTTTTGAGAAGTGTCTGTTCATGTCTTTGCCCACTTTTTGATGGGGTTGTTTGTTTTTTTCTTGTAAATTTGTTTGAGTTCATTGTAGATTCTGGATATTAGCCCTTTGTCAGATGAGTAGGTAAGAGGTAAGCTAAGTTCCCTGTGCTTCAGCCTGTAGAGAAAAGAAACTTCTCAGAGCACACTACAGATTTGCAGCCTCTGTTGTGTGCCACAGTGTGCCAAGTGTCACACATCTCAATCTTTGACCAGAAAAATAAAATCTCTTGCTCTTCACTTATTAATCATATGAGCAGGAACTGGCTTGATTCAGCAGTATCTTCATCCATTCTCCTCTTTTTTCCAGGTTACAGGTTACATATACATTTCACTTTCCCTTCAAAAGAGTTATTTATACCATCAACTGACTGTCATCTAGAGATCCTCTTTATCACAAATGAATATATAAAGAACAGGATACCAAACAGTATATACATACACAGTAGATAGATAGATAGCGATCCAGATAGATAGATAGATCCATAGATCCAGATGGATGGATAAATAAATAGATATATAGATAGGTAGATAGATAGATCCATAAATTCCAGAAGAAAATATACAAAAATTATAAGAATTGTTATCTCCGGATGATGGGATTGTGAATATTTCATAATTTCCTCCTTATTTCTAAATTTCTACAATGAAAATGCATTTTTAAGTCTGAAAAAAATATTATTATAAAAGAAATAATTTCCTGCTAGTGCATAAGGCAACATTATTCATGCACTTGGAACTTTTTATTGGATCCTAGACAGAGGTTTGAACCAGACTCACTTGCCATGATAAAGTTTATATAGCATTTGCCCTGCACTAGGACATAGATGATCCATTAACTTGAACTAGAAGATCCAAGTTCAAGTCCTAAACTTGCCACATGGGGGCTCTTCAGAAAATCATCTTATTTTTGTCATGTTTTCTTCTTTATAAAATACAGATGGTGACATCTGCTCGGTCTTGAGAGGATCAACAAGATACATATGAAAGGAGCTTGTAAATTTAAAATCATTATGTACATGCTTAGGTGGTATCATTTTTAGTTTAATTAGTGTTAACAATCCTCTTTCCAGAATTGCCTTGTGAATGGTGATTTTCCTCATCCCAGTCATTAATACAATAACATGTTTTTCCATAATTTGAAAACAATACTTTTAAAAAACCACTTGTTTCTTTCCTTTATAGATTGTCCTTATAGAAAAATCTTTGTTTCAAAATATTTACTAAATCAATCAAATCAGTTAGATAAGATTGTGGGCAAGTATTTCTCCATTGTTGCAAAAAAACCCCAAAGACTAACTCGATTCTAATTTCACAGACCCAGACCTTTCTCTTTTTTAAAAATTTGTATAAATTTGTGGGGTACAAGTGTAATTTTGTTACATGGATAGATTTCAAGGAAACACAAGGTTACAGTAAAGCCTGCTCTGGGCAAACTGAGATCTATTTACATGGATATTACCTTTCTGAATATTTTCCCTCACCCATTTTTTCACTTCCTATGTTTCTACTGTATTTGCCATTTGCCTACTTCCATAACGTATAATGTCCAATGAAAAAACCATGAACTAGTTCCCACTAAGGGACAAATAAATAATGAGGCTATGGTTTCCTATTGTAACAGACTGTCAGGAAGAAGTATTAAGAGTTTCAGCCTTCACAAACAGGTTGAAAGTCAGAAGGCCTGTCCAGACCATTGAAATCTTATTGTGTAGGCCCAATATTTACTTCTTACCTCTACCAACCTTCACAGTGTGCTAACACCCTAAAATTATTCCTTATTGCTTTTCTCTTCCATCCCACCAGCCCACATCTTACATCCACACTACACCCACACACACTGTCAGTGTTGATAATATTAGTTATAAATTTCCAAACAAATTCTAATGTTTGAGTGACTCATATATTAGGCACATTTAAAAAACAGGAACTTTTCAATTCAAATAATTTTTTTCTTTTGTAAAATATGTGACTGACATTGTTTGATATCATCAGCAAACTCTCCCAGTTATCCCATACACCAGAAGTGTAAGTGGCAATTTAGTGCAATAATTAGAACGTGAGCTTAGGAGGCTCTGGGCCTTGCTTGGTTTCTGTGGTGGTTCAGATCATCAGACCTGGAGTCAGAACCTGTGTTTAAATCTCAGCCCCAGCACTAACTAGCAGTGAGAACTTAAGCAAATATGTTCCCGTGAATCAAGTACTATTATTATCTACATTGTGCAGACCAAACCCTCAGTTGGCTTGGTCTATACAATTGGATAATAATAGTACTTGATTCACAGGACCACAGGTAAAGATCTGAGAAGATATTACATATAAAGTCACCAGCACAGCACAGGGTTCGCCATGTAGTACACAGCTGATATTTGTTAATTATTATTATTATACAAGTAGAGGGTTACGCTAAAAATCTCCTCCTGCACTAGGATTCTATGATATAATTAGGGTGACATGCCAATGTTATTTCTCCCTAAAAATAGTAATTTATTTCAAACATTTTTTATCCAGAATATGCAATGTGAATTCCTTTCTTCTACTCCCCAGAGGGCCTGAAGTTTTCTTCTGAATGGAGCATAGTTCGCTACCTATATTGAGGCACTAAGCAAGACAAAAGAACTTGTCCCTGATTCCCTCATATCATGTAAAAGGATGTGTGAAACTAAGGAAACTTTTCACTACTTCTCCTTACCCATCTCCTCATCAAAAACCTCTCCCGCTGAAAGTGACTGCGTGCTCTTAGCACGGGCACTGAAGAGCATAGAAAGCTGGTGAAAGCAAAGAGAAATGAAGAGCCCAGTGGTGTAACCTTTCAAAAGGGGATTGGGCAGGACAGGATGACAGTGTCGCAAGCACTTCAGAAGTTCATGCTCATGTGCATCTTGAAAACAGCTTCTCCACTCCTAAACGTCTGGTCCTAATTCCACTTGGAGGCATTGGCTTTGATATGAAGGAGCACAGCCAACAGCCAGGAGCTGGATCCTCATGTCGCCAGCCTCCTGGGGAGGGCTGGAGTCTGCTTCACTGAGGATCCTGTCCCTCCCCCAAAAACCCCAAGTGTAAGCAAAGCTCAAGCTTACAGGAAAGCCACACGGAGGATGGGCTTTTTTGCAATATGGGATAAACGGATAATGGATGGATTGCAAAAGAGGATATTCAAATGTCCTTGGTTCTTTTTACTTTTCTCAGTTGGTGTTTGCCATGCAAAGGGTGAGAAGCTTGTTCTCTTTTTTGTACACTGAAGGGTATTAACGTTTTACAGAGAGGAGATGGATTGGTCTTTTTGAAGTGCTTGCTTTGCTATTATTGCTCAAAGAAAGAAATCAGTTCCGCATTAAGCTGCGGCTCTCATGGTAGCCTGGGAGGCCAGAGAGACGTTGTTGTGTTTCCACTTCCTGAACTCAACACACACAGCTAAGAGAAAGTCGTGGGATTCCTCAGGTCTGCTTAGAGCCACTTGCAAATTATGTAGCTAAATTGGATCCAAACTACCCAGCTGTTGTTTGTTGCTAAATGGGTGCAGCAAGGAGAAGCCCCTTCTGTCCCCAGTGGGACTATCAGAGAGTAGGGGAAATGCCTCAGCCAGATTGCAGATTAGACAACAGTGAGGCGATCTGCAATCTCTCAGGCTTAGGGAATCTGTATCTTATACTCAAATTTCCCCAGTTGTGGTATAATGAGAAAACTTGGAAGCCCACTTCAAAAATGCACCCAACCACTCAGAGTGAAATGAGGAAAGTGTCATCTTCCATTGGTCTTCCTTATCAACACACCTGAAAATACTCTGGCCATCCATCCTACACCCCCAATGCCAATATCCTCATCATGGCAGTTTGGCAGCTTCCATTTGCTTTTGGGCACACAGCTTCTGTGGCAGTCCAGGTTTTCCCAACACATTTAAGAAGCAGATGCCCACTACCCTGATATATGACCACAGCTTCATTCACCCATAACCAAATTATGATATTTTATCTTTATTATAAATGAAAAGTCTGACTCGTGACCTAAGTGACCTAGAGTAAGTCGTTTAAAAATCTCCATGCCTCAATTTCCTCATCTGTCTAATGAAGATTAAGCATGAAAATGTATGGTAAATTTCCAGGTTTGTTGCAAGCCCTCTTCCCATTGTCTACTGCCATGGTGATTAACTTTATGTTCTGAGCACAATAAAGTTCTTTGTACATGCTGGCAAAGTTATCCAAGAAGAAATCTTTATAGCCATTAAGAATACCCCAC